>NC_000007.14:84627991-84931021 GCF_000001405.40 Homo sapiens | reverse complement strand
AGTATGTGTATCCTGACGAATCACAAAGAAACTTAGAGTCAGAAATTTCTTTTTGTACTGAAATAAATGAGTTTTGTCAGGTTAACTAGAGAATGTAGTGTCCCGAAATAAAGAGGCTTGTATTCTGGGTTTTCAAGATTTCAACAATAACCAACTCTCTTCTCAACTCTAAAACATCAAGGAATCAAGGAGTTCCAACTAAATATACACAATTCTTAATTGGTATAACCAAATGGGGAGCACTGCTTCTGAGTAAGATGGAATAAGTTTAAGCAAGACCAAAATTTGTGGTATAAAGTTCATAATTTTTAAATGTATCAGAAAGCTGTGCAGGAAAAGAAGTCTTGATGAGCTAATAGTCCAGAGATAGGATCACCATTCAGACATGAGCTAACAATAAGCATCTTATTTCCTTTGGTAGCATTTGGTGATTTTGAGGCTAGGCTTTGGGTACAGGTGTGTCACAACCAAAGGACCTCTTCAAGGTAAAAGAAAAACTTAGCAAAGCTATAAGCAGTTTCATGGAGAGGTAATAATTAAAGTTAATAGTTGAGGAGACCCAATAGAAAGCTTAATTTGTGAAGAATTTGCTGAAGTGTAAGGCAGCAGGGAGGCCAAAAACATAGTCTGGATCAATGTATTAGCTCAAGCAATGGGAGTGGCTCTACCAGTTTGCCTGGTTGGTCTACAACAAATGAAACTGAAGTTGTAGAACTTCCTTGGTACACTCTAGAAGAAAGTCTACAAAAGACTATGGAGACTGGGATCCTAGAGTAGACTTATCACTTAAGTCATGCTCAGTTACTCCCAAACTATGTCCCCTGGGAGAGTACAGAGGATACCTTCTTTACAAAGCTTTCTAGAAATGCAGTGTTGAGCAGTGCCCAGAAATTCTTTTTTTTTTTTTTTTTTTTTTTTTTTTTTTTTTTTTTTGGGACGGAGTCTCGCTCTGTCGCCCAGGCTGGAGTGCAGTGGCGCGATCTCAGCTCACTGCAAGCTCCGCCTCCCAGGTTCACGCCATTCTCCTGCCTCAGCCTCCCGAGTAGCTGGGACTACAGGCGCCCGCTACCACGCCCGGCTAATTTTTTGTATTTTTAGTAGAGACGGGGTTTCACCGTGTTAGCCAGGATGGTCTCGATCTCCTGACCTTGTGATCCTCCCACCTCGGCCTCCCAAAGTGCTGGGATTACAGGCGTGAGCCACCGCGCCCGGCCCAGAAATTCTTGAAGAGCTCTGTGGAGGCTAAGAATACAACCGGAAGGCCATTGAACAGGGCTCCCTAAATTCAAGTTAGATGATGTGTAGCTGGGATTGCACAAACTGAGTGTTACTTAATCACCAGGGGAAATGTGGATGTCGTTCTTGTAAAAGACATCACAGTCAATGCAGTAACTAGAATGATTTGAACTGCATGGTCTTTGCCATTGGCTAATAAATCATGGTCTACCTATAACTGAAATACATAGTCTACAAAATTCTAATTTAGTGTACATATTCCAAAAAGCTCTGAATCTTGTTAGTAGGTATCTGACTTGAATTATCAAAACAGACAGTTATGATCCCTCCAACAATTCCCATACTTGATCCAGTTCACAGACTCAGAACTCTTGGAATGTATGGGAGGCCAGGACTCCTTCAGGAAGAACTTAAGGGGTTAACTGCCAAAATCGTGTACTATAAATCTTCTTTCTTCTTCAAAGAGCTTGTGGTTGTTTTTGAGGGTGACTGAGAATCTGGGAAGGGGTAATAAACAGAACTTTCCCAGGCACTGATTGTGAACTGACCCTAATTTCAGGAACACCAAACTCAACTCTGGCCCATGACTGAGCGGGGGCTTATGGAAATTAGATGATCAACAGAGGTATGGCTCCAGATCATCTCAAAGTGGGACCAGTGGGTCCACAAATTCAACTTAATTTTTTGTGTTTGTTTTGTTTATCCAGTTCTGCAAGTCATTTGAATAAAAGCACTTAGCAATTGACAGAATCCTCACATGTGCTTTTTGACCCATTAAGCATTTGTTGTAAAACTTTAGCAGCCAATACTCACACTCACAGCATCTAAAATATGGGTATACTGGCTCAGAAAAGGAATCTTGGAGTGTCACTGACAGGGTCCACTACTGCAGTTATTTCTGGGAGGCTGGGTAAGGGACTGGACATTTACATTTTCAATGTTCTTTTAAATTGCATCTTCATTTCATTACTTTTAAATTTGTGTTTCACTGCCTTCTCTTTTTGAATTTTATTTTTCCATATTATTTTATGATAGTTTTAAACAATTTAAGTAAGAGAAAACAAATTCTACTTTTTAACATGTACCCTTAAAAAGTTAATATAGAATGGCTTACATGCATCTTTTTAATAATTCCTATGTTAAAAATTGGAAACGCCAACTTTTCAACCCAACACAGAAGCCTCATTCTTCAGAAAATGCAAAAAAAAAAAAAAAACCTGGTACTTACTGTTTTAAAATTTTTCTAGATATATCCAACTCTCACTATTTCTCCATATTTCTTTTATATTGCATTTGTATTGTAGATGGTAGCAAAAAGAGGCTTTTGCAGACATAAAATACTCCATTAGTCTGAGTTCTCTAGATAAACAGAATTAATACAAGATAAATGGGTATACGTGTATATGTATGTGTGTAAGTAGGTAAATATATGTGTATGTGTACACACACATATATATGTATATACACATACATATACACACATATACACAGAGAGGAGAAAGAGAAATATTTATTATTCAGATGGTCCCTGACTTAAACCTAGTTTGACGTACAATTTTTTGACTTTACTATGGTGCAAAAGTGATTCACATTCAATAGGAACCATACTTCAAATTGTGAATTTTGATCTTTTCCAGGTCTAGTGATATGTGATACAATATTCTCTCTCAATTCTGGGGAGCGGTAAACAACCAATACTCTGAAATGTGCTGTGTTGCCAGCATTTTTTGATATTGTATTTTGTGTTTTTGCATTCTATTATGTCTACAAAACACCCATTGTCATCTTATAACATTTTTAACTTACTATTGGTTTATGAGACTGTAACCTCATCAAAAGTTGAGGAGCATCTGTAATCAACTGGCTCACATGGTTACAGAGGCTGAGAAACCCCAGGATCTGCAGTTGGCCAGCTGGAGAAGCAGAAGAGCGAGTGGTATAGTTCCAACCTGAATCTGAAGGCTTGAGAACCAAGAAGAGCCAAGAGTGTCAGTCCCAGTTTGCGCCAGTTCTGAAGTCCAGAGAAGACTAATGTCCCAGCTCAAAGACAGGTAGAGAGTGAATTCTCTGTTACTCTGCCTTTTTGTTTTATTGAGGCCTTCAAAGGATTTAATGGATTGGATAAGGCTCACCCACAGAGGGGAGGGCAGTCTGCTTTATTCAGTATACCAATTCAAATGTTAATTTCATCCAGCAACACCCTCGCAGAGACACCCAGAATAACGTTTAACCAAATATTGGGCACCTTGTGGCCGACTTAATTGATACATTAAAATTAACCTTCAAAAGTTCCACCACGTTCATTCTGAGGAACTTAGAACCAACTTGGCTCCACTTACTTATTTTAAAGATAATGTTATAGACTTACAGAGAAGAAAGATGAATTGCTTAAAATGGCAGATGTTTGGAAGAAGAACTATCATTCACAACTATTGTGTTCCAATCTCCTATTAACATACTGTCTACATATTTTACAAATCATAACTCTGAAACTGAAAAAGTTTGTTTTTTGTACTTTTCAGACCTTGCATTAAATCCTTATATATTAAGGAAGAGATAAATAAAACCAGAGTATATGCATTTTGGTGCAAATAAATATTAATGATTGAGTATTTTAAAATTATGAAATGGTTAAATTTCCAAAGTTTTCTTAGAATAAGTTTTTATTTCAGAAAAGGGGAGAGAAGAGTGTGTGGAAAATTTTAGGACAAGAACTACAGTTTTCCACTGGACGTCAGAAGAGGCAAGATGAGATCTTAGACCTAGAGAGAGTAGGTAAGCACTAAATGTCAACTAAGCCAGCTGTCAATTCCAAGAAGGTCCAATGAAGTAAGAGAGAACCTCTCCATAACAAAAGTTGAATATAAGTAAGAGACAGAAATGTGTTAATCATGCTTTCTGACAAAATGTCTAAAAGTGAATAATACTTTTATATTTGCCTGTAAATATATAAAATATACCTGTATAGATAGAGAAGAAAATGATCGTATTTGTTATTTTCAGACAAGGAACCAGTTGTTGGAAAGAGAGTGAGGTGATTAAGAATTTCCAAAACACGTCCTTTGTTACTCTTGAATTTTGAACCATGTAAATGTTTTATCTATCTAAAAATTGCAAATATTATGAAATAATGCTCCAAATAAAAAAAAATGAGGACTAAAGTTTTAAAAATAATGAAATTAAATACTGTCTAATCATACCTTACATTTGTTGAGCACATACACGTGCCAGGCATTTTATACTCATCACTTCATTTAATTCATATTATCAATCCCATTTTTTAGATATTGGGAAAATGAAATTTAATGAGATTGTCTTTTTGTGTTTTTCATAGTTTTGAGCTTTGTGAAAGACAGCTAGAACAGTAAGCATTTGTCTTCAATTAAACTAAGAAATTAATTAAACACCAGATAAACACTGTTGTAGCAATTAGTACTTACAATCTCCTCAGGTATTTCTTGGTAAATATTGCATATTAGCTTCACAATTGCTTTACTGTGGTAAATCATGTTCAAGAACAGATTTTCTATATGTTCCATGAAAGTAGGTGACTATGCATTCCACCTTTATTCATGAAAATCTAGTCTGTTTTACAACTGACAGTTGAAGTTTATCCTGCTCACTTTTTAAAATTGCTTATAATTACAAATTAAATTTGCATATTAGCAAATATATATTCTAAAATTTGACTGAAATTTACTTTAAAATGGAAACATTATGCAGAACCCAAGGCATCTGAAAGGCTGAGCTTTGGACCCAGAATCTTGTTGACTGTAATTGCCCAGGTCAGAGAGTCTCTTGGAGACAGAAAACTAGTCACAAAATTGGACTTAGAATCACACTGCCTTCAGAGTCTTCCCTCTCTGCTACTCTAAATGATCTTCAATGAGGAGAACTAGATTGTGGTATGCTGAAAGCCATGTGGAAAGCATTTTCTTTACTGCGTGTTGAGATTGAAAGTGATCTTAAATTCACCTTTAGGAAACTCTTATTTAGGTGCGTTTTTCAATATCACACTTTGCACAAAGAGTTGTCCATAGAAATTCTAACACAATTTTAACATCTTACATTTGTAAGAAAGGCAAACCAACAAACTGCATGAGATAAAGCTGGGCTTTAACTATTATCATATTTCTGGAATTCTGCTTTATGTTTTGCTGAATATCTGAAAGAAGAGCAACAAAAAACTACTCTATATATAGGATATATATAGAGGCTAGTATATATATAATTTCTAAAATGATAAAATATATAATGCCCCCATCCTTGTGAATCTGAGTGCTTCATATTTTTGTGCTGGATATTAGTAAATTTATTTCAGCTATTACATGCAGATTTGGGAGGAAAAAAAAACTCTCCCATATAAGTGAGTATTACTTACACAATTTTAATTTCCTTGTCCTATAATTTCAGATAAATCCCCCTTATGCTAATTATTAATAATTTTAGTAATACAAGACTTCTTATATTGGCTCTTGTTTCATATCTGAATCATATTCATCTCAACAACAGCTATTTATTACAGTTTAAAAGATTTCCAGAGATAGAGCTTTCCAAATAATTGCTGTGTAGGAATAATGTAAATATAGTCTCCTACAGTATAAATTCACTAAGTAATATTTCATAAATTATTTTCATGACTTATCAGTATGAGTTTAAGCCAATTCAAATTCAGAATTACATTTCTGAGGGCATGCATTTCACATGTCAATAACATCAGGACAGTGACTATAGTATTCAAATATTAAGATTTTATCTCCTAGAAATAGTTTTGTTTCAAAAAGAAACTTCCACTTTTAAGAGCAAACTCAAAAGTCTCTAATACTTAATTTCATTTGAAACACTGCTTTATGCAATGATGATAGAATGTATTTAACAAATCTGTGTTTCTAGATTTTTATCTTATTTTATTTATTGATTTTTTTGGAAACAATTGGCTTCTAAATTTCATTCTGATGTCTCATTTCATTATAACTCCGTGCCACCTGAAAATAATCTAGCAGAGGGTTACACCTAACCAAGTCCAATGGAGATGGAAACATTTAAGTATCTCTTTGGAGGAAAGGAAATGGTATTGTTAATGTGCCTCTCTATATACTGTGTCAACCTCATAGTTAAATCACACTATGGACTCATACCAAGCCCTATTCATGATCACACCTCTTATCCCTTTATTAACCTTTAGGTTTTTACGATCTGTTAGGCATAGATACACATCTGTTCAACAGACCAAAGGCATACCTAGCCCCACCTGCCTAAATGTTTCGAAAGCTACTTGTAAAAATGCCTTGAATGTATAAACAGTGCCTAGCTTCACTTTAAGATGAACGTATTTTCTATGCATCACAATCCTTAAGGCCCTGATTTTAGCAACTCAAATAGTTCACTCCTGCAGCTATTTGGTTCTGGATTTGGATGCAGCATAACATCTCAGGCTTAAAGTTTTTTGCATCATTTAATAGGAGGAGGGTGCAAATTAACCATGGGAATATATGATAAAAATTCTTTTATAAAGCACTTGTACCCAAGTGCAAATTTAATTTTTATTATATTTCCTAGGTCTAGATGGCATAATAGAAATCTTAACATTTTTAAAGCAATTTAAATATTAAAGTATTTAAAAATAACTTGATGTTGTCCCATTTATTTCAAAGTCCTGTATGAAAGGGCGGGCATTCTTATGTATTTTTTCATTAAAATTTTCTTTTCTATAAATATTCTACCATCATATCTTTTAATTTATGTTAAAATTATAAGGAAAATACTCAATAGTTAATAAACTTAGATCAAATTAAAGACATCAGAGGTAACAGAAGTTGTTCAACTTTAACTAGAATAAGTTTGGATGCCTGTCAAATGGTACATGGAAATGAGAAATAAAGCTAAAGCTAAGATTAACTTGTTGTCTGTGACACAGTAAATTACTGAATTTAGAAACAATAACAAGCAATAATATAGCATTTATCATATCACTGATAATTTCATATTATTATAGACTACAGAATAACACAATACTTAAGACATACCATGAGGCTGAGTTGGATTTTACTTAAAGAAAATATTGACCAATTAAAAACATACTCAAGTTGGGATTGTGTTGTATTTGGGAAAACTATAGTAGTCCAGGTAGCCTCTGTTACACTTTCTGGTAACCTTGTAAGAGGCATAGAAAAAGACATTAGGAATTCAATTTGGATAGGGGCAAGGAAACCATAAGTGGAAGTGGCACTATCCATTGCCACTATAAATAGTTTCATGTGTTGAAATCTTAACAGGTTATTTTTAAAAGAGTACTATTTGTAGGTCAAGAAGCTTACAAATCAGAAAAACAAGTTTCATAAAATGCCTTTGATTCTAATTATAGAAGGCCATGCTATTTTGGATAATAAATGAACAGAAATTTGATTTAAAAATGCAAAGTTATTTCGTATGTAAATATAGAGCACTTTCCATTTCTCCCACCCTGGTGGAAGCATAATTCCATTATGAAATCTATTGAAGTAGATTTATTAGAAGTTAACTCCATGATAGATGCCTAATGTTCAAGGGCCTGTAGAATTTCAGCAGATTTTGCGTATGGCTGTAGTTCTTAGCAAATATTTGTTTAATAAATACATTAAAAACACTTCTGAATATTTAAAATGTACAGTACCTTTTGTGGTCTAGCCATTTTTCCATGAATTTAGTATAAATCAAGGAGTTTTAAATGTATATTTTTGAATACGTGAACAATATAACATTCATCACATTGTTTATATTTAGAGTAAAATAATACATATTTATACAAGATTTATAACTAAAGCAATCTTATTGCTCAAATGTATCTAAAGAACATAATGATTTCTGTTACATTTTATGTCATATGTCTTTGGCAGCTTAAAATTTATTATAATGATAGTAATGAAAATAATAGCAATTATTGGTCTTAAGATAAAAGTGAACTATATAATTAACTACTATACATTCTCATTGGCTACTGCACCTTTTTCTAAAAAATAAGACAAGTTAAATATATGTATATATTTATGCATACTTTTTAAAGTATACATTTATATATTTATGCATACCATTGAAAGACATTTCTATATTTATGCAGACCAAATTAAATATACACACATACATATGCATGCGCATGTTCACACGCACACACACACACACAAACACACCCCCCATTACAGATGGAAAGATATGGACATGTACCTTCAATTCTTTTTCTGTTTGCTTGTTTAACTGGGTGTTCTCCAGTACTATGATTAAAATATCAGCAAACAAGACACAATTATGTTGTCAAGGAATCAACAGTGAACGTAAGATTTGTTGCTGCTTCATTACTTCTCATAATTTTTAGTGGCTAGCCCTTTAATACAGGTGTTTGTCTTTATCAATCACTGAGAGAATCTCTCAGCTATTCTCCTCTTTCAGTTAACTTTCACTGACTTGTTGATGCAAGGAGTATATTTCCCTCAAGCAATTGGCTTAAAAGCACTTGTAATTCTGAGAGGAACATTTTATGTTGTCTCTGTTAAAATGTTAAAATTATAACTTTCTGCTAGATTTATGGATGTAGAGAGGAACCAACTAATGTGCTCCTGGTAGAAATTACTGGTGTGATGAGAGTATGAAACAGGTAATTTTGCAGTTAACAACAGTTTCAGGAAACTTCCTTTCTATTATTGTTTATCCTTATGTTAGAAGTTGGAAGGTATTGTACTACTGATAAAAACCATTATACAAGTTGGAATGTGAGCTGCTTGTACAACCAGTATTTCCTCAGACCACACTAGACTGAAAATTCAATAGTAGTTTGAAAATTATACTGCAGAACTGTGAGAATTTAGTTACCTTCAGATCCCTCCCAACAATTATAAGCATTTCCTGTTAGAAAGGCGTCTCAAAATGCTCCCAAGATTAACTCCTTGGGATTCCAGAAGATAGATAGTTACAATTTAAGTGTACACCTCCTCTACCAAGACTCAGATGCAAGTCCATAGGAGATGAATTTAGGAATCATTTTAATAACATACTGCTCAAGAGTTAATATTTTCTCTCTCTTCCAGACTTTACCAGGCGTCTTCAACTCTCTCTCCTCAGGAAGATGTTCTCTCATGAAGTATCGTAGTTTACATGTACTAGTCCATGTTTTTGGCCCTTTAGATTTGCTGTTCAGGCCTTCTAATATATATATATAATATATGTGTGTGTGTGTGTGTGTGTGTGAGAGAGAGAGAGAGATTATGTCATAATGTATAATATATCATCATTATATCATAGTGATATGTGATATAGCATAATATATATGTCATATAATATGCATCATGTTATGCATTTTCCTACTATAGATACCTCATATAGATGGAATCATACAATATTTCCCTTATAAAGTATGTAGTTGAGGGGCATTAAGTACATTCATATTATTGTGCAACCATCACCACGATTCATTTCTAGAACATTATCTGTATCTCAGTATCCAAATATCCTTCTTATTTCTCTTATAAAGAGACCAGTCGTTAGATTTGCAACCCACCCTAAATCCAAGATGATTTTATCTTGAATTCTTTAATTAGTTACACAGGCACAGACCCTATTTACAAATAAGGTCACATTCTGAGGTTCTAGTTGGATTATATGATGTGAGTCTGTGTCTTCTTCCAAATCTCAAGTCAAATTGTAATCCACAGTATTGAAGGAGGGGCCTGGTGGCTGGGGATTGGATCATGGAGGTGGACTTCCCCCTTGCTGTTCTTGTGATAGTGAGTTCTCATCAGATGTGGTTGTTTAAAAGGGTATAGCACCTTCCCATTCTCTCTCTTCCTCCTGTTCTGGCCATGTAAGACGTGCCTCCTTCCTCTTTGTCCTCTGCCATGACTGTAAGTTTCCTGAGGCGTTCACAGTCATGCTTCCTGTACAAGGTGCAGAACTGTGAGTCAATAAAACCTCTTTTCTTTTATAAACTTACCCAATCTCAGGTAGTTCTTTATAGCAATATAAGAAAAGACTAATACATGAAATTAGTACTGAGAAGTGGGACATTGATATAAAGATACCTGAACATGTAGAAGCAACTTTGGAAGTGGTTAATGGGAAGAGGTTGGAACAGCTTGGAGGACTCAGAAGAAGACAGGAAGATAGGGAAAGTTTCAAACTTCCTAGAGACTTTTTAAATTGTTGTGATAGTGATATGAACAATGCAGTTCAGGCTGAGGTGGTTTCAGATGGAGATGAGGAACTTAGTGGGAACTCGAGTAAAGGTCAACCTTGCTATGCTTTAGCAAAGAGACTGGATGCATTGTGCCCCTGCTCTAGGGATCTATGAAACTTTGAACTTGAGAGTGATGATTCAGGGTATATGGCAGAAGAAATTTCTAAACAGCAAAGCATTCAAGATGTGGCTTGGCTGCTTCTAACAGTGTACAGTCATACACATGACAGTATAACCATATGTGTGAGCAAAGAGATGATCTGAAACTGGAACTTATATTTAAAAGGGAAGCAGAGCATAAAAGCTTAGAAAATTGGCAGCCTGGCCTTGTAGTAGAAAAGAAAAACTCATTTTCTGGGGAAGAATTCAAGCTGGCTGCAGAAAGTTGCATAAGTAAAGTGGATCTGTAAGTTAATACCCAATACAATGGGTAAAATACCTCAAAGACATTTGAGAGAACTTAACACAGCCCCTTCCATCACAGGCCAAGAGGCCTAATAAGGAAGAACGGTTTTGTGGGCCAGACCCAGGGCCCCACTGCTCTGAGCAACCTTGTGATGCTGTACCCTGTGTCCCAACCACTCCAGCTCCAACCATGGCTAAAATGGCCCCAGATACATCTCAGGCTGCTGCTACAGAGGATACAAGCATAAGCCATGGCAGCTTCTATGTGGTGTTAAGCATGCAGTTGCTCAGATGGCAAGAGTTGAGACATTGGAGCCTCCACCTACATTTCAGAGGACATATGGAGATGCCATAGCTGCAGGGATGAGGCCCTCATGGAGAAACTCTACTAGGGCAGTGCAGAGGGGAAATGTGGGGTTAGAGCTCCCACACAGAGTCTCCACTGTGGCACTGCCTGGTGGGGCTGTGAGAAGAGGGCCACCATCTTTCAGACCTCAGATCCACTGATAGCTTGCATCATACACCCTGGAAGAGCTGCAGACACTGAACACCCGCCTTTGAGAGCAGCCATGGGAGATAAGCCCTGCAGAGCCACAGTGGCAGAGCTGCCCAAGGCCTTGGGAGTCCACCTTTTGCATTAGTGTGACCTGGATATGAGACATGGAGTCAAATGACATTATTTTGTAGCTTTAAGATTTAACAACTGCCCTGCTGGGTTTTGGACTTGCATAGGGCCTGCAGCCCTTTGTCTGGGCCAATTTCTCCCTTTTGGAAAGTCAATATTTACCAAATGCTTAACCCCCACTCTATCTTGGAAGTAACTAACTCGTTTTTGATTTTACAGGCTCATAGGCAGAAGAGACTTGCTTTGTCTCAGATGATTTGGACTTGAGAATTTGGACTTCTGGAATGAGTTCAGACTTTGGAGGACTGTTGGGAAGGCATGATTACATTTTGAAATGTGAGAAGGACATGAGATTTGGGAGGTGCCAAGGGTGAAATGATATGGTTTGGATCTTTGTCCCCACCCAAATCTCATGTTGAATTGTAATCTACAATGTTGCAGGAAGGGCATGGTGGGAGGTCATTTGATCATGGAGGTAGATTTCCCCTTTGCTGTTCTCATGATAGTGAGTGACTTCTTATGAGATCTTGTTGCTTAAAAGTGTGTATCACCTCCTGCTTCTCTTTTTTCCTCCTGCTCTGGCCATGTAAGACATGACTCCTTCCTCTTTGCTTTTCACCATTAATATAAGTTTCCTTAAGCCTTCCCAGCCATGCTTCCTGTACAGCCTGTGGAGCTGTGAGTCAATTAAACCTCTTTTCTTTATAAATTACTCAGTCTCAGGTAGTTCTTTATAGCAATGTGAGAATGGTCTAATACAGTGGATGTTAATTTTGGGGGAGGGGAACACTATTCCATCCACTATAAGTACTAGGCATGTTCCTTTTCTTTATCTGTCCTTTTTTGACCGAATTTTATTCCGTTGTGGCATTTATTGCATGGTGTCTTAGAAACACGTGTTTGTGTGTCTAATGAACTCTTTAAAATCAGGTTTTTAATCTATCCTTGTAATTACAGTTCTAGTAGAATGTCTGGTACATATCAATATTCAAATATTTTTTAGTTCAGCATTTTCTATTTTTCTAAGCATAGGAATTTTCTGGTATTTATACCTCAATTTTTCACTACCTTTGTTTTCACTGTCTTCTTAGACTGATAATACTAACCACAGAACCATGCCTATCATCAATTCAAAACACAGAAATTAATTTTATTCATGGTTAGTTCTAACATCATACTACTTCATACATGCTTGATAAATTTTATGAGTTGACTTTGTTTCTATCCTTAAGTTTGGCAACTTGAAAGGAGCTAGTGTTATAATCCGCGATTTCCTGATGACATTTTACATGTTGAAATCCTCATTTTAATATTCTAATCTGTAAAGATGGTTTATATTAGAAGGATTGGAAAAAATATCAAATTAGGCAACTTGGAAATAAGACAGGGGACCAAGTAAACATATAGATGTTGAAATAAAAGAATAAGAGGGATAACAACTTCTATAGAGATAATAAAAATGTAGATTATTTTCATGATTTTGAAACAATAAAAGCTAGTTCCAATCAATGCTATTTCATCCTTAATTTTTTCTATTTTTAGCTATTTGCATATTTGTGATATTTTAAATATAATACCAGTATTTTATATAAAATCACTTGTAGAGTAAATAATATTTATTTTATCAGAAGATCGACAATTTTTACTACGGTAGAGGACTAGTTGTGTGCACTCCTTTCTTACTGCAAAGTTGTTGCCAAGAAGAGGCTGCCCAACAGTGAATGTCTATTCAGCCCTAAGCCCATCAAAACTCAGTTTAGCTGTGTAACCAGTACTTGCCAAGAGAACATGAGTGAAAGCTATATTTTCTTTCTGAGCCAAAGAAGTTAGGAATCAGGTGTGTATTTTCTACTCAATCATGTCCTATCTTTCATATGAAGGCAGAGGAAATAGAGACCTTGGAGAAAAAGGAACAATAAATGGAAAGTGTGTGTCTGCTGAATGGACGGTCTGTCTGCTAACCAGGAACATCTATACTATATTCTTAACTCAGCAAAAAAAGCCAGCATTGTGGTAGGCAACTGAAATTTTAGAATTTACTGCAGAAAGTGCTAATCTAACATATACAGAAATTGGTACTGGAAGAAGATGCAAGCTATAAACAAAAATTAGCATATGTGCCATAAGCTTAATGGTCAGGTGGCAGGTAGTAAAGATATAGATATCTTAGTTTGGAAAGTTAGAGATTCATCATAAGCAAAGGCAATTGCTTTGTAAAACTGTTTTCTGAACTAGCAGGCATACAGTTAGCAGATTTTGAGTTCACCAAGAATAACTCTATAACAATACAAATTTTTAGTAAGAAACTCATGCCATTAAAACACAGGCTCTGCCGGGTGCGGTGGCTCATGCCTGTAATCAAAGCACTGTGGGAGGCCGAGACGGGTGGATCACCTGAGGTCAGGAGTTCAAGAGCCTGGCCAACATGGTGAAACCCCATCTCCACTAAAAATACAAAAATTAGCCAGGCGTGGTGGCTTGCGCCTGTAGTCCCAGCTATTTGGGAGGCTGAGGCAGGAGAATCATTTGAACCTGGAAGGCGGAGGTTGCAGTGAACCGAGATCACACCACTGTACTGCAGCATGGGTGACAGAGCAAGACTCCATCTCGAGAAAAACAAACAAACAAACAAAAAAACCCACAGGCTCGAAACAAAGAACATGTGCAGAGTGCTACCATTAAGACAAGGCTTCAGGGCCTAACAAACTTAAGCGTGTAGCTGGCATAACCATTAGTGGACTTCTGGAAGGATTAAGGTGGTACCTTGCAGATTCTATTAGTTGGACAAAAGGGATCCCATAAAGCTGAAGTGCATGGCTTACAGGAACCTGATATGTTCCAAGCTTCAGTAAATAAGTGCAGAGGGAAAGGTATGACTCAAAAAGACTTGTGGCTTATGGAATTGACTTGAATAAAACCCAGAAAA
This sequence comes from Homo sapiens, assembly GCF_000001405.40. NCBI lineage: Eukaryota > Metazoa > Chordata > Mammalia > Primates > Hominidae > Homo > Homo sapiens. Next base: position 84,916,627 of record NC_000007.14, on the reverse strand, counting down.
CCTTCAAAATTTTTGGCAAAAAAAACCCTTTGATATTCCAGGTATAAAAATACTTACAGGACTCTAACTACATACAAGCACAATATGGGCTTACAAAGCCACTCAGCCATTAAGAATGTGTAATTGAATGCCCTTTTCAGATATGGTCAAGGGCGATAATTTAAAAGGGGCGCCTCATGTAATAAAGCAAGAATCCTGGGGAAGAATGTTCTGAGAAACTATATTCAGGAAGCAGATAAGAGGCCGGATCAAGGGACATGTTTACCTACTCATGTGTTAGGTAAACCTTGCAACATTTGACCTCCAGAATTTCAGAATTTCTGTGGAACAATAGTTACTATGTGACTCTCACTGTCCTTTTTAAATGACAATGTTTATTGAGTTATTCTACCAATGCTGTGTGGAGGACCATCTGTCTTTTTAGTTAATTGGTTTTCAGAGCAAGAGGATCTTCATCTGGGTCTGAGGTAGATCATAAAGCCCTAGTCTTCAAGCCTGATTTTTTGAATGTATGAAAATTTGGGGGTTGGGACCGGGTAAGTAAATTTTGCAGCAGTAGACAAAATCCCACCCTTCCACTCCCACTCCTGTTTCTTCTCTTCTGCATGGGATCTTTCGAGTACCTAAAATGAAGTGATATATCTCCTCATACCACTAACATTGGGCTCAGCCACATAATCAGCTTTCTCTAAATAAATCTTTATGAAATACCATGCAAGAAGGATTCTTAAAGTGTTCGCATTTCTTGGATTTACCTCTTGTACTCCACTGATATATTATCATATGAAAATGCCATGGGGACCTCTGACCTAAGAAGTGTGAGACATGTGGGCTGAATTGAACTCGGCCTTAAGCGTGGTCATGAACTGTGTAAATGTGGAACCTGATGAAGGGCTGCATAGTTCAAACTGCAAATCTGTAAGTGAGAAAAAATAAACGCTCTTTGCTATAAGCTACTCAGGTTTTGCAGAGGTTTGTTTCACATCATTTATTTGACTAATAAAGAGATAATTAAAATAAATTTCTAATCTGCAAAGGATTTCTTCTTTTCAATTTCCTTTCAAAATTACTAATAATAAAGTACAAGTTACAGAGGAAAAGCTAATGATATTGCTTTGGTATCTTGGTTATATTCTTCTTAAAAAAAAACAATTTTTCACTTCTTCACCCACTCCAGGTACCTATTTTACTATATTAAATGAACACTCTTGCAATCTCTTCTCTACAGATTTATTTAGAATTTTTATAAAATATTAATTTAATTGTACATGTTTACTTTGCATAAATTATAAATACTTTGCATTTCTTACTATTTTTCACTGAAAATATTATATGTTCGAGATCTATAATGTTGACACATGTAAAATTCCTTCCTTGACTCTGAATATTGCAATGGTATTCTAGCACGTGTATGTAACAGTCTTGACTCTCCTATTCCCTTGGTCGTGGCACCCAGATGATCCATTTCTTCCATGAACACCATTAAAATGAACAACCTTGTCAATGCTTCCATATAGAACTCTGTGAAAGTTATGTAATATACCTAAAGGTAAACTTGCTGAGTACCCTGAATTCTGACAATTTTTTCTTCAAAATAGCTTTGAGTAAAGTAATAACTTTGTATTTTATTTGTACTTAAGTGATTATTTGTGAATTTATGTCACCTTTTTTTTTTTTCTGTTGAGTTTAATGTGTTTACTTTATGTTGCCCAGTGAAAGTTAGGGGATAGATAAAAGGAATTAAAAAGTATCTGTTTGTGGACCTGTTCCTTTTTGCTGTAGGCTGAAGTTCTTCCCACACTACAAACAAAGCACCTTTGGGCCACCTAGTGGTTTTTCACAGGGTTTAGGTGAGCTGTTGGACGTGGAACTGAGAGCCATTAGCCATTTTCTCTCTCTATGGCATCTTCAGGCTTAGGATTCCTGCCAGTGTCTCCAAAACTCAGAGTCTCCATATTTTTGGAACCTGTGTTAGCTTATGTTGGTACTTTCTGTTATTCCAATAACAATTATTTTAGAAAAAGATAACATTTCTAATATCTAGTAATGTATTTCAACCCCCTTCTATGAGCAAGTTTTCATGCATAAAACATGTCAAATAGACTCTGGCTATGTATCTCCAAATGCATTGGCATTCTACTACAGGAAAGTGATTTGTAACTCTTTGCAGTACCTCCCTTGAATTATTGCTTGAATCCATCCTCAATTCCAAGTACATCAACGGAAGAGAATTCTCAGCTTCCTTCCAGTGTGTTATAGAAACAGAGACATATGTTTGACTTACAGCATTGTCTTCACCATTTTATGGCACAACAAAGTAACTGTAAGCTAAAATAAAAGGTCTTCCTTATTTTTTCTAAATTTAAGAATAGTAATGGTCAGCATTGTATATTATTGCCATATAGAAGTAATTTTTTTCAGATTAGTCTTCTTTGATTTTCTAAAAACTTGAAAAGTAAATTTTACAACTCAATATGCTATCTAAATTTAGACAATTATGTTCATATTAGAGTGAATATATTAAATTCTTAACAATTAAGTTATTTATTTCTGTATACATCAATTATATTTAAATCACAAAGAGAACCAAAATAACTCCTTTACAAGGAGACAGTGTTTTCTCATCTATTTGCTATTTGAAGACTCAAACTAGTAGATGATTCATAATTGTATAGTGTAAACATTGTTAGCAAATCCAAGTGACAAATGCAAGGCCACATAGCCAGAGAAAAGAGTTTGTTTCAAGGGTTATGTTAGCTGCCAGTTTTCTTTTTTATTGGCATGCACACAGTGTCTGTCTGGTCAGGCTCTATTGGTAGGTATTAGAGAAAAGTCTCATCAATAGTTAAGGTAAACATAAACATTCCCAGATGGAGAACAAATCATCTTTCCCACCATATTAGGGTGTATTTGCAATCTCAGGACCAACAGAATATTTTAAGCAGGAAAATAAAATATTTTAAGAGGGAATACACCTCTCCTGACATATTCCACTGAGAGAAAGCACATGAATTTGATTAAAATGTTACCAGAAAGGGGTCCTGATCCAGACCCCAAGAGACGGTTCTTGGATCTTGCACAAGAGAGGATTCAGGGCGAGTCCAGAAAGTGAAAGTAAGTTTATTACAAAAGTAGAGGAATAAAAGAATGGCTACCCCAGGGACAGAGGAGCCCCGAGGGCTGCTGGTTACCCATTTTTATGGTTATTTCTTGACGGTGTGCTAAAGAAAGGGTGCCTCCCCTTTTTAGACCATAGAGGGTAACTTCCTGACATTGCCAGGGCATGTGTAAACTGTCATGGCACTGGTGGGAGTGTAGCAGTGAGGACAACCAAAGGTCACCCTTGTTGCCATCTTGGTTTTGGTGGGTTTTAACCTGCTTCTTTACTGTATGCAGCCTGTTTTATCAGCAAGCTCCTTGTGTCCTGTATCTTGTGCTGACATCCTATCTTATCCTGTGGCTTAGAATGCCTTAACTGTCTGGGAATGCAGCCCAGCAGGTTTCAGCCTCGTTTTACCCAGCCCCTATTCAAGATGGAGTTGCTCTGGTTCAAATGCCTCTGACAAAAATATTACAGATGGCAGATTTTTAAAAATCTCACAATGCATTTCAAAGCACTATTTAAAAAATATTTTAAAATATAAAAAAATTAAAAATATCTGAAACTATGACTATAAACATTTTTTTCTTTTGTTGATAAATTCTCTCTGAAGTCATTTAAAATATATATTTTTTAACTGTAGTTTAGGATTTTAGCACAAAATTTCGATGATCTTTTTCGTAGCTGACAAGTCTGAGATTTAAATATATTCTAAGGGGTGACATAAAATAATACAAATTAGTTCCTCAGTAGTGAAAATGTTAATGGGAGGTATTTCCATTTTGTTAAATTGCTGATATGGATATTCTACTTAGTGAAATAAAATCTGAATATGGTGTCCTTCTATGGAGCAAAATGTAATTTACTCTTGGTACTTTATACCAACATAGAACTTCACATTCTCTTGGCCTGAGATGAAAACATATGAAAAGAGAATCTTAAAGTTACCCAAATAAATGATTCTTTTTTTAAAAAAAATGTCAATCACCCCCTTATATGAAGTGTGTGTGTGGGGGCATAGAATGAGACATTTAGATCCAAAAAAACCCCAAATAATAGTTAAAACAAGATTTCATGGACTTTAATTCCCACAGTATTTAGCAAGCATTGAACTTAATCAGCATTATAAAACAGTCTATGTAAATGTCTTAGACACTGAGAAAGGAAGTATGAAAATTTTATTTAAAGTAGAGAGAATCAATTTAGTTGAATACAGTTTGAAAAAAACTGGACTTTATTCAAATAAATTTCTCTCAAACTAAAATAAAAGCACCCTTTTTCTTATGAACTATTATGTATAATTCTTTGATTCTGGTATCTATTGTGAGACTATTTTTAACATAAGAAAACTGAGAACACAATATCATTTGAATCTATTTAGTTTAACAAAAAGCTATAGAAATTCTAGAAGAAAAAAGCTATTCAGATACAAATTAGTTTGTAAGAAAACATCAAAAGAAGGACAATTAATTCTTTCTTTTAGAAACTTTAAGTTTATGTATAATAATTATTAAATTAAACTCCTTTTAAAAAGGAATTATAAAGAAAGTCTTTTAGCTTTTTATTCTAAAAACAGCATATGTAAATGAGTCAATCCATCTTACTAGCAAGTCCAGTTTAATTTTGAAATCAGAACATTTGATATTTTTGTGTATTTATTCAGAAGTCAAAATATCTCTAAAATATTTGTAGATACTAGAAGGCTACCAGATAATGAAATCTTATATTTTTCTTAGGAAGAAGTTTTTACTCAGACCTTCCACATAGTGAATAACATTTTTTCCTTTACAGGTTTACCTTAGATTGTAGCTATGTGGGAGGTGAGATTAAACACAAAGGGTTCAACATATATAAAAGTTTATTTGTAGCATTGAAAATCACTTTCCTCTCATCTTACTCACTAGCCTGAGTATTATATAGTTTTGAAGACAGGACCTATATAGGTGAATATTACTCAGATGTTGAAGAATATAGTTAATAATCACTTACTTGGAGGTAATTCTGCCCTAGTTAAGGTAGGATGAGGAGGCAAGGGGGAAGCTCCTGAATTAAATCCATATTTTGCTCTCTGGGAGCAATTCCCTTGTTCATTGTTCTTCATGTCCTCTGTTCATGTTCTAGAAAATTATTCCTTGCTTATTATACTCCATGAACACAGCCGAAATAGGTTTTGATGATTAAAACTTTTTGAGTATGACAAAGCACAAAGTTATCTCCTTGAACACCCTCATTATCTGACTGCTCTCAAATCTGATGGGGTTCCTCATCCTCCACCATCCCCTAGGTGATTTCTGATAACCGTGGCCTGCTTTCAGCAAGAATCCTCTTAAGTCATTTTAGCCGTAATCCCTCCTTATCCTTGATATTTGCTTTTAGTAATTGTACGTCCACTGAGCCCCACTCTGTTCCTTCACTATACTTTTCCTTGTATTTGGAGCTGAGTCCAATCTGTCTCCCCTACTGCAAAACCCCATTGCTGTGGTCCCTACACTTATCATGCTGGACCTGAAAAAGATCTGCCTTACTATTTAACAATTATCATAATTTTTTTTTCTCATCAGGTACTGTAAAAATTTTACAGAAAAGTCCTCATATTATAAATTCAGACACTCAATGTTTGTCAAAAATTTCAATTATTATTCTTAAATAATCAAATGACTTTAAGATACAAGCTTGTGGGGTTTTTTAGAATACATTTTACTAAAAAATTCTTTAGGCTTCTGATCTATTTGTTTGTTTGTTTGTTTGTTTTGAGATGGAGTCTTGCTCTGTTGCCAGGCTGGAGTGCAGTTGCGGGATCTTGGCTCACTGCAACCTCTGCTTCCTGGGTTCGAGCGATTCTCCTGCCTCAGCCTCCCAAGTAGCTAGGACTACAAGCACGTGCCAGCAGGCCCAGCTAATTTTTGCATTTTTAGTAGAGACTGGGTTTCACCATGTTGGCCAGGATAGTCTCGATCTCCTGATCTTGTGATCCGCCCACCTCAGCCTCCCAAATTGCTGGGATTACAGGCATGAGTCATCCTGCCCAGCCTCTGATCTACTTGTTTCTCTCAAGTAACTATGCCAAAAGTTCTTTCTTAGGACTAATTCTCAAGCATAAAGTATTTCTTTGCATTCTCTCTCTCATGCATCTCTCAACTTAATGCTAACTACCCTGTGGTTATCTGGAAAAGTAGTCTTGTTGGGAAGGGAATCTCTATATTTCCTTGAAATTCCGCTTGCAAACTGGCTAGTTTTTCATTGAACTCATACACCTGGAGATACCATAATATGCAACTAATAACAGCCAGTTATGATATCGACATACTGCCAAATTTGGGCAACAAACTTGCCCAGTGCCAGGAGTTCATTAAATATATTTTCTGACTTCTAGGTTTCCATAGGTGATGGTTTTATGAAAGTATTTTGATGCCATATAATATGGGTTAAAATTTTCTCATTCTTTTCTAATAGTTGCTTCAACACTCCCTACCAAATTGTGAAGCCATTTTCTTTTGGGGCAGGGGAGGGTTGTTTATGGCAGTGTTTTACTTTTGGTACCATTTTAAAAAATTGGTCAACTCATACTGAAATAATGTTGTACAGAAAATCACCTTAAAATTCAGTGGTTTATAATAACAAACACACATTTGCTCATGATTCTGCATAATAGTTACAGGCTAGGTTCCAGCTCAAGGCTGTGGGTTTGGTTCACGTGTGGTCCGTGTGTTTCTACATTTCTTGTTGATAAGCAGCTATCCAGGTATTAGGAGCATAGGAGGCCAAGCCACCCATGCCAAACCACTCAAGCATGTTTGAGTTCTCTGCTTAAATCATGTCAACTAATGTTCTACTGGCCAAAGCAATTCCCATGGGCAAAGCCCAATATAGATGAAGTGGAGAAATATACTCCATCCACGGTAGTGCACTGAAAGGTCTTCTAACTGAAAAAGGCAGTGAGGAACTAAAAACAACAATTGAATTTACATCTAGTAATCATCTATCTATCTTCATCTTCATCATCTATCATGTCTCTTAATTCTTCTGTAACAAATAAAAGTATAGCTATAACTTAAGCTAAAATGAGATAATGTGATTCATAAGTTAACACTTGTATATTGGTCTTTTTTGTAAATAGGAAAAGACATTCTACATTTCCTATTTATGTGATAATATAAAGGGAAAATTTATATATCAGAAAAAGTAAAGCTTTTAATTGAAATATTTGGACAATTGTCCAAAGAATTATTTGCTTACCCATTGCTTCATAAAACATTTAATCATCTTATTATATGTCATATACTGTTACAGTAAGTAATCATCTTCCATTTTTCCTTTTGCCTTCTTTTAATTTATTTAATAGTGTTCTTTATATAGAGAGTGCATTACCTCTTTGTTTATGATGTATTATAAATAATTTTGTGTTAGTTTGTCATATGTGTTTGCATAAATGTGTTTTGACCTATATGTTATTTGATTTATATTTAGTTGAATTCATCATTCATAATTTATCAATTATGGATTCTGAATTTCATTAATAAAAGAGATACTGTTTTTGAAAGAGAAAATGTCTTTGAAAACTTGAATATATAGTATATCTAAAGAAATTATTATAAAATCTTGAATACATTATTTTATGAGTCTCTAAGGAAGATAACCATTCTTGCCATAAAATCAAAGTGAAATGAAACAAACAAAAACAAAGGAATATGCCCTTTGTGTTTGTTACTCATAGAGGAAGCAAAGAAGAAAAAAAATAAGAAAAAGAGGAACATAGAATCATAGAATGATTAGTTATTTTTATGTCTGAAGCATCAGTCTTCTATAGAAATTTAAGGCCAGAAGTATGTTTCTCATTTAATTTTTAATTAGAGGCAATTTTTAAAAATGAGCAGAATAAACTTCAACTGTCAGTTGTAAAACAGACTAGATTTTTATGAATAAAGGTGGAATGCATAGTCAGCTACTTTCATGGAACATATAGAAAATCTGTTCTTGAACATGATATACCACAGTAAAGCAATTCTGAAGCCTGAATTTCTTACAGTAATCACAGCTTTCTCTGACACTGTATTCAGCTTCAATTGGAAGCCCAGGTGCTAAGCATTCTTCACAGTATAAAGCATTTGACACTTTGAAGATAACCAGACCTTTGTTAAAAGTAAAAAATGTGGTTTCTAGCCAAGACAATAAGAATACTGTCCATGTGAGTGATAACCCAAGGCACTAGGGCTAAATAGTCAAAATGAACAGTCACAACTGAAATCCTCTATAGTGGCAGACACATGTGTGGGTGTGATAATATGTTTAAATAAGGAGAAAAATATCATTTTTCTCTAGAAGCTTGATTAAAATATGACACTTGTGAAAGTACATTTTTGTTCCCAACAGTAGCTTGCTTTTCTATATTCAATGCACATTCCTTCTTTTCATTAGGAAGCCCTAAATAGATCAGTTTATATAAAGAATAACTCAAAGTTATTTCACTTCAAGCATCTTGCAAAAATATTTACTCTAATTGTCTCCCTAAGCCTGTTGTAGCGATGAAGGTGTTTGATGATCCAATATTAACAGAGAGGAGAGCCTGTGCCAGTTACTCCATTAAGATATTCAAGGCACTGTATTATAAAAATAATTGGATAGAGGAGAGCCGAGGGAATTTGGAAAAATCATTTGAGTAACCAAACATTCATGATTTTACAGTGGACAAAGTAAAGATTGTTAATGTCAAGAAATGCAAGACACAGCATGTGAGCAAGTTGAGCCATATTGTTATTGAATTCCACTCCCTAACTCATATTATTAAACTCTTCAGATCACTTTAATCTTATAAATCTTTAAATCACTTCCAGCCAGCCCCTCTCTGCCTTTCCCAAATATTTCTAAACATGCTTATTGTTCCCTAGCTATCATTTGTAAGCATGTGGAGAAATGTGATGTCAGTGTTTCTTGGATTCAATGTGTCTATATTGTTGAAATTTAGAGAAAAAGATGAAAAGAAAAGGAAAAGGAAAAACATCTTTGGAATACATTCCTTGACATTTTAGTAATTTTTCATGGAATAAAAAAATCACACATTCTAGCCATCACACATTTAGGAGCTACATAAGAAATATTGTGGAAGGTTTGCAAACCAGATTAGTAGAACTTCATCATAACATGTTTGAACATCACATTGATTCAGAAATAAGCCTTATAAAATCATCTTACATCACTCAGCTTGAGGGCCTGAAAGATATTAGACAAATAGGATGGAGAATTTCTCTGGAACTTCCAATATCTGTTGCCACACTGTATAGCAGAAGGAGTGTGTACCCCCTCCTTCTAGGTCAACTGAGATAATTAAAAGGGAACAACTCATGGACTTTGATGACAACTGATGCCACTGAATGTCTCTGGAAATTTCAATGGGCTGCACTCAGCAGTCATTTGACTAAATCCACCCACTGCTATCTCTGCTGCTGTCACTTCAACCTTAGGTGTGGCTGCCAAATTCCGATGTAAACAAGAAGTTCACATTCTGTTCACATTTTCATTCTCAAACTTGAACGAATGTCTTCATCTGAGAGCCACAAGTCCCCTCCGTGTTCAAAACTGATTGTTTTCCTTCACGTCTACAAATCCTGTCCTCTCTCCCCAACTCAACAAGAGTTTAAGAATCTCAGAAGTTGAGGATTAAGTTCACGGGACAAGACATTTTTTTCTAGGATTACATCGTTTTTCCGGTATTTTGATTTTACCTATGGGCTACAGTTTTAAAGTCAGAAATCAATAATTTGCACCCGTCCCCCCACCTTGTGGCTCTAAAATAGCATTTTATCAACAACTTACTTAGTTCCAACTCTTACTCTAGAGAAAAGGTGGTGCCAAATTTTTTGGATCAAATGGAGATGGCTACTAGAGACCAAAACAAAAAACAACAAAACAAAATGTAGAGATTACTTCATGTTAATATCACAAACTTTTATTCCAGCTTTGGTATGGGACATATTCATGTTTAGGGGCACCTGCTCACCAAACTCATGGACCCTGATATGGACTTTTCCCCCTTTTTATTCTTATGCTGGGTACTTAACCACGCTATTATCCCTGACTCTGTAGCTCTAGAAATATACTGATAGTTGGATGACTACATATTTGTGCTAGCTGTTACTAAGCTACAAAATTAGTAAGGTATAGACTCTGTTAATGACAGAATTTATGTTTTAATAGAGGAGAATAATGTTTCTACATAACCATAAAAAGTGCTATCAAATCATAGTTTCAGAAATAATTTATTCTGGCTAGAATTGCAGAACAACTTTATAGAGAAGCTGACATTTGAATTGATCTTGGAAGATCGATAGTTTGATAGATGGTGGTGGGTGGTGAATAAGAGAAAATATTCAAAAAGAGAAAAGAGCATAACATGGTGAAGCAATGAGAGCCTACCATTTGCATGAATTTGAAATTATAACAGAGATTTTCTGTAATGTTTTTCTTGTTATATAAGCCATGATTTCTCTGTATGGATGGAAAACTTAAAAAATCATTTTCCGTTTTACTGAAGTAAAGCTCTAGTGTGAGAATTAAGATAGTTTTAGTTTGAAATAAATTTCACATATATATTGAGTAGCAATGTTTCGTTCTTTGTTTTATAAAAGGATATTTGAAAAGTTTTGATTCTCAAAATTTAGAGAGTAGAATAATAGGCAAGAATTAGCCCTTTTGCTACTATGTTTGTTCTTAACTATTATAGGTCTTTCAAAATTTTGTTTAACAGTAATATTCCTACTTTTATATCAGAAAATTGCTATGACCTGAATATCTGTGTCCCCTCCAAATTCATATGTTGAGGCCAGGTGCGGTGGCTCACACCTGTAATCCTAGCAGTTTGGGAGGCTGAGGCAGGTGAATCACTGGAGGTCAGGAGTTCGAAACCAGCCTGGCCAACATGGTAAAACCCCGTCTCTACTAAAAATACAAAAAATTTAGCCCAGCGTGGTAGTGGGTGCTTGTAATCCCAGCTACTCGGGAGGCTGAGGCGGGAAATCAGTTGAAACTAGGAGGCGGATGTTGCAGTGAGCCAAGATCAAGCCACCACACTCCAGCCTGGGAGACAGAATGAGACTCCATCTCGGGAAAAAAAACAACAACAACAATAAAAAAATTATATGTTGAAATCCTAATCCTCAAGGTAATGATAGTAGGAGATAGGGCTTTTGAGAGGACAGAGCCCTCATGATTGGTATTACTGTGCTTTTAAAAGAGACCTCAGAGAGCTATCTAGCTCCTTCTACCATGAGAAAGACAGTGAGAAAGTAATGTCTGTGAACGAGAAAGTTGGCCCTTAATAGACACTGAATCTTTTTGCACATTGATCTTGAACATCCAAGCTTCCAGAACTGTAAAAAATAAATTGCTGTTTTTTTTAAGCAACCTGATTTATAGCATTTTGTTCTAGCAGCCCGGAGGGACTAAGATAAAATTGATTTTCTTTTATATTATTAGAAGAAACAACTTGACAGATATCATACAGTAACAGAAAAAATTGTTATTAGTTTGTAAAATACATAGTTTGTGTACTCTATACTAAAAACATTGTAATGATCAAAATCAGATGTTGAAATCACAATGAGAGCAGGTAGCTAATTATATATGAAGAGAAGAATCCATTTGTTGTGTTTGATACCATGTTAACTAGGTCTGTGAGTTCAGGGGAGGTAGGTGACAATCTTAATGAAGCTAGGTAAGGCCAAGTGTAAAGTGCTGAGGTTATTCTTACTGGTGTTGACAAATGGTGAGGAATGTGTACAGGACTCATGGAAATGACTAATAGATGATTCAATTTATAACAAAATATTACAAGGAAATATGGAAAGACTTATTAAACAACATACCTGCTTATAAGAATATGAAGGACATAATATTGGTGAAGAGAGGAAATCATTTGGCTAGCCTGAAAGCCAGTTGTTAGAAATGATAAACTAAATATGGTCAGATGAAGGATTTTTGTTTTAATCTTTATATAATCTTGTTAGACTGACATTAATATTGTGCACTTGCTATGTCCATTTTCAAGCAATAAAGTTGGATATGACATAAATATTTGGTCATTCTAAACTCTCAGTTCCTTGTCAAGAATATTTTGGTAATGATTACATTAATATTTCTGGGCAGTAGATGTTTCTGGAGCTACATAAATATGTCATAATCCATTAGAAAGAAGAAACATGGTGGTTTAAAATTTGGGACATATGCATAGGTTATTTTTCTCAGTCAGTTTCTCAAATATATAATTACTTTTCTCAGTAGATTAGCTTTTCTTATGAGCATAACCTTATTAGAATACTAATATTGATTACAACAGTTAGTTTCCTATACTTAATTTTATCTTCAAATTGGAGTTTTCCTAAGAGCATGCTAATGTGTAAACTTGAATTTCAGAATCATTGTCACTTCATGGTGCTGACCTGGTTTGTGAAATTGTCTGTACTTTGGACACACTTGCTGTTCTTTATGTTGCAATTAGTATAGTTACCATGAAATATTCACAGATAACTATCCGTAAAACATTATAATATTGATATGGTTTGGTTTTGTTCCCACCTAAATCTCATCTTGAATTGTAGCTCCCATAATTCCCACGTGTTGTGGGAGGGACCTGGTGGGAGATAATTGAATCATGGGGCAGTTTCTCCTGTACTGCTCTCCTAGTAGTGAATAAGTCTCATGAGATCTGATGATTTTATAAGGGGTTTCCCCCTTTGCTTGGCTCTCATTCTCTCTTGTCTGCCACCATGTAAGACATGCCTTTCACCTTCCACCATGGTTGTGAGTCCTCCCGAGCCACGTGGAACTGTGAGTCCATTAAGCCTCTTTTTCTTTATAAATTACCCAGTCTCAGGTATGTTGTTATCAGCAGTGTGAAAATGAACCAATACAGATTATTGCGGTCATAGAAAACAGTTTATTAAGAAAAATGGAGTGATATATGAGAGGGTAAAAATGCAATTACTTCCTGGCCATCTTTCAGTTCTTTATTTATAAGAAAATTCTCTGGTGGTTCATTAACTTAGACTTGATGAGCCATTTTATCCTTTGTCTGTTATAATATAGAATCACATGTTTGATATGATGCAGAAGCTACAGAATAAGAGTAGATTGATTTAGGTAGTGGGAAAGGAGCTAAATTGAAAATGAATGAATGGAGACATAACAATAGAAAAAAATATAGTGAGTAAAAAGAAGGGAAAACGTATTTGTTTTTACAGTTACTATTTTTCTTCTTTCATTATGCCTACTGTAACTTGGGCTTTTAGATTAGAATTTTAGTAATGTAACATTTTTATACCTTTAAAGGAACTTCTAATCTACCTTAAGTTTAGACACTATATAAGGAGACAGCATGAGTGTTATCAAATCTCTCAAACTTCTTGGTTTTAAAATGGGAAGGGTAATAATCTTAATCTGGGATCCCTGATCCTTTTGAGGGTAAATTATTAAAAGTAGGTTTTCAGTCACCTTGTATGAAGTGGCTTAGCATGAAGTTTTTCAATAGTGTAGGGAGGAGATTCTAATGCTTAGGAAAAGATCTAGGGCTTGCATGATACCTGAGAATGATGAGATGCAGAAGCAATGCAATTGAAAAGGCTGCACTGAGTAGAAATTTGGAGAACACTACCCGCAATGGCTTTTCCAACTCTACGATTTTATAAACACAGTGATTCCCAGTTGAATTCTTTGTATTGGAGTTGACTGCAAACTAATAAAAGTGAATAAAATATTTACTTGGAAATTGAATAGAGCACATTATAAAAAACATACCTATGACAAACACATTGTTTCTTTTTCTCATTCAATTTCAGATCACAGGGAAGTGTTATTGAAAGTGACTAGATCTGAGGGCTCATTTGCTCACATGATAATGGAGACTGAGTAGTTCCATGACAGGCCATCTGCAAGCTGGAGATTCTGGGATGTCAGTAGCGTGGCTCAGCCCAAATCCAAAGGAGTCAGGACCAGGGGATTTGATAGTATAATTCTTAGTCTAAGAATGAATGCTAGCTGGTGTAAGTCTTGGTGTCCAAAGGTTTGGGACCCTGGAATTCTGATGTTTAAAGACAGGAAAAGAAGAGTGTATACCAGCTCCAGAAGATAGATAGACATCTTCCTCTTTCCTCTGTTTTTGTTCTCTTTGGGTCCCAGGCCAGTTGAATAGTGCCATAAACATTGACCGCGGATCTTCCCTGCCTTTTCACTCACACTAACATGCTAATCTTTTCTGGAAGTACCCTCATAGATGCACTGAAAAATAGTGCTTTACCAGGTTTCTAAGTATTCCTTAATCCGGTCAATCTGACATCTAACATTAAGCACCAAAGCAGGGATATTTTAAATCTGTGTTTAGAATATACTGGACTCTAAAATTGGTTTCATTTGAGAAAAAAAATTACTATATAAAAACTTCCAAAACATTTGTAAATGCCAACACTCTATTGGTATAAAAATGTGTAGAAAAACATTGTGTACATTTTGCATTTCAAATTTCACATATAGCCATCTAACATGACTTTTACTTTCATTTACACTTAGGTTCTATATAGACCTTTTACAATTTGGCTAACATGCAGACTGGCAGTCTTGCCCATCTCGCCTTTATCTATTCTTTTCTCAAGTTTTAAAGGTAAGTTGTGCAGCTAGGTTAAGATAATTAATATATAGGCTAATATTCTCAACTCAAATTCCAAAAACATTGCGATTCATGCTGAAATTGAAGTAGAGTACATGAAATAATAATTGAATAGTATTCAACAAAATCAGAGATTTTGATGCTTTCCAATTTTGGAGATTCTTGACTGATATGGCAAATATTCTTTTGGACTGGCTCATTTGGTATTAGCAGGTATGATCTTTTGGAATGGTATACATTACTTTTGTTGTGATAAATTTTAAAGTAATTTTTTGGAAAGAATCAAAACAAAGATAATCTTAAATGCTATTGTGCAATATCAGCCACCCTAAAAAAATATTTAGTACCATTCAAAGATATGAGTTCCACAGACATTGTGTATAGAAATTTAGTTGCCCTAAAACTCCTGGATGTGAGTGAAATACTGGAGATAATTTAGTCTAATTATCTCATATTATAGGTAAAATTGACACCTGAAGATGCTAGCAATAGAGCCAGAATTAGAACACATGATATGTATTTTTCTGCTATAACATGTAGGACTAACATGTTTTAAGTCTTCCTTAAGCTTATGACTGGATTGTATGTTAAGATTAGAGTTGACATTGATAAATTTGCTTAAAAGGTCAATTTAGCTTTGATTAAACATAGTATACCTTGATAAAATGTAAGTTACTTAAGTCTAAAGACTTCATCTCCTTTACCATGTCATCTCCAGCTTTTAAACAGTGCTCATGTACTCACTGTATGTTGTGACCCAGAAATGATAGCAGTGTTTGTTAATGTTTATTTCAAATAATAACATTAAAATCATGAAATGCATCTTGAAAAAGGCTTTTGTTGGTCAAAAATGTTTGGAAAAGATTCTTCATGCTATTTCAACCCCCTCTTTCCCCTCCTTCCACATCATTCAAACTTAATCAGGGAATGCTTCTATTGCTTTTGAATAACTCACTAACACCATGAAAAACATAATTTTCAAATTTGTATACACTAAGTTTTCAGATAGGCATTAAAATATCTATTCTAATGGATTTTATAATTTTTCCATATTACCAATTAAGTTTTAGTAAAGGTTGTTCAAGAGATAATTCTCATTCTCATTATCTGATACTGTATAACAAACCTCCTCAAAATCTTATTGTTTTAAAACAACAATGTATTATTATCACTCACAATTTTGGAATGACAGGCTCAGCTGGGTGATTCCCACTTAGGGTCCCTCATACAATTAGGTTGCAGTTAGATGGAGACTGAGGCTGTGACCTCTGAGGACGTTTGTACTCATGGCGTATGGCACCTGGACTGGGATGGCAGGAATTTCTGAGATCTAGTTTGTCACCTCTCTCTCTAGGAAGTATCATTTCATTTTTTACTGGCTCTGGGCCTTTTAGTCAAACAGGCAGTGCTTCTTCCAATAAAGTTCTGTGTTTTTTACACTAGTCATATTGAGGCCTATTACATAAAACAAAAGCCACAACCACAAGTCTCTTTTAGACATGCCATTTTCTATTTTGGGCCCTATGTAAGGCTGTTGTGGTACAACTCCCTTAAAGTCCTCACGGCCTTTAACAAAAGATTCAATAGGTATGTCCTTAAGACCCTTACAAGGTCATTTGAATAGCAGAAATTTTTTATAGGGCAGCACTTTTAATCCTTACAAAGAACCTAACTTTGGATTTTATCTTCATCCATTTCTTAGTTTAAGAATATTTTGGTGGGGATAAGGAAGATCTTTATTTTTGAGTCCATAAAGCCCTGGTTTCTATACATATCCTCTAAATTATCTTTAAAAACTGAAAAAATTCTTTTTCCTTTTCAAAAAAAATTATTGACAAGTAAAAATTGCATATATTTATGTGTAAAACATGATGGTTTGTTATGTGTATACACTGTGGAATGGCTAAATCAAGCTATTGAACATACACATTACCTCACATATTTTTGTGGTGAGAATAATCAAAATCCATTCTCAGCAATTTTCAAATATACAATATATTGTTATTAACTGTGGTCACCATGATATACAATAGATTTTTTGAACTTATTTCTCTTGCGTAACTGAAATGTTGTGTCCTTTGATCAATATCTCTTCAATCCCCCCATTCACAGCCTCTGTATATTAAAACAAGTCAAACTCAAAGAAACAGAGGGTGAAAACTTTTTCTATAAAACCTCTTTCTCTTCTATATTATACACATCCAAAAAAAGATTATAATTTTTGATATTTAGTGATGAAATATCCTTAATTAGCCTCAAGATCATTATAATCCTTTTTTACCATGGATAACAGTTTCTAAAATTCTGTCATTGTGTAGCATAATTTGTGCCTTGTCTCCAGCTTTTGATAACTTTTTCTTTGCTGTTCTTTAAGCCTCACCAACAGCCTCTTTGAGTCTCTTCCATCTTATAATGCCATTTCTTCAGTGTTCTTCCAGCTTTTTCCCAAGTCTGATCTGAAAGCTAATTATATCTTTTTTTTTTTTTTTTTTTTTTTTTGAGACAGTTTCGCTCTTGTTTCCCAGGCTGGAGTGCAATGGCACAATCTTGGCTCACCACAACCTCTGCCTCCTGGGTTCAAGCGATTCTCCTGCCTCAGCCTCCTGAGTAGCTGGGACTACAGGAGCCCGCCACCATGCCCGGCTAATTTTTGTATTTTTAGCAGAAACAGGGTTTCTCCATGTTGGTCAGGCTGGTCTCTAACTCCCTACCTCAGGTGATCTGCCCACTTTAAACTCCCAAAGTGCTGAGATTACAGGCGTGAGCCACCGCGCTCGGCTATTTTATTTTATTTATTTATTGTTTATTTTTCATGCAACTATTCCACATCTAGAAACCAAAATCTGTTCCAGTTATTTATCACTGCATAATGAACTAATGCAACATTTAGTGACATAAAATAAAAACTATTTAATTTTGCTTATAATTCCGTGGGGTAGGAATCAAACCATCCTGGTAGGGATAGCTTTCTTTCTGGGGCCTTAGCAAAAGTAGTAAAGGTCAATGTCTGGAGATGGCTGGGACAGCTTGCATAGGACCATAAGTTTGCAGCTTTAGTTTTTTTCTCCCTTTGAGATGTGCTGAAGCTGGAATATCCAAGATATTTCTTTTACTCCCATGCTTTGTACCTGGACGTAAGTAGCTGTTTTTCAACGTGGCATCCTCCCCTCTTTAGCCTGGTGATTTTATTATTGTTAGACTTTTTACATGTGTATTACAACAAATGAGTATTGCAAGATAGAAGTTTCAGAGCTTAAAAGCTAGCCTAAAACTCATGCAGCATTATTTATGCCACAATTTTTTAGTTACATGGGGCCAGAGAAGATTTCATATTGGAGGAGGAGTGTGAATACCAGGAGGCATGATCCAAAAGGGAACATTTTGAGGAATAGTTACCAAAATGCTTATTGTCCAAGTGAAATAAGTGGCTGGGGACCAAGTAGATCACAGAACATTATAAAAGCATTTTTGATAAACTGGAATTTCAAATTATATTAAAATTTATAATCTCGATTTAGTTCCACTATTGTGTAATTTTCATGTTCTCTTCTTAAGATTTCAACAAATCAACATACCAAGAATTCTAAATTCTCTTGGGATTTTTTTTGAAGCCTTCATAAAAATCTATGGCAGTCTTATATTGACTATGTAAATATCACCCTAAAATGATGTTAGCTTTTTTCCCTCAAGGATGTGTTAAAATTTTATCTAATTGTTATTATAAAAATTAATAATTTATATCAATAAAATAATTTACATTTAATCCTGAGACTTAATTATGATAATTTTCTCCTTTTGTCAAATTTGTATACTATGCTATTCTGCAGATGACATGCATAATTAAAGTGGAATCAATTTGAAATAATATATCTGAAAATTCTAGCCTGTTTACAATTTTTCATCGCTAAACTCAGTTTTAAACAAAATAAGCTTTCTTTTTGTTAATCCTGGAAAACTGTCAGTTTACTAAAACGCATTTTGGGAATTCTAAAGAGATCAATGTTGCTTGTATATTAAGACTTACACTTTGGAAAGAGTAGAATCACAAGGGAAAAATTGTGGGGGATATTGATACTTTGTTAGTAAAAGAAAAAGACTCAAAATGCTCCTTGACTATTGTCATTATCAGCTGAGACGTTCTGTGCATGGCGTAGAACACATACTGTGACTAATGATCCTGAGGATGGGAAGTGTGGAACAGTGCATAAAATGGTATTTGAATACACAAACCTTATGTCACCCATCACATCTAAGCAAGAATATTTTGTCTAGAAACATGGAACAGACCACCCATTCATAGGGTTGGCAAATGGATAAAAAAGAAAAGGTAATGAATTAAGAAAGACAAAAGGAGGGAAAGCACATAATACAGATAACAAATAAGTCAGAGATAAGAGAGAGAAGAGTGACAGTGCTTCTCTAGTTGTGTGGTTTTTCATAGTTTGAAATGAGTAAATTAGGATATTATTTTACTTGCCTGGCCATAGATTATTTTGTTTTCCTTTTTATTTCTCTGTGTACATCAGTTTAGATTATTTCCATATTGGAATAAATGGCACTGATATAGATACAGGTGGGAGAAATGGTCCTCTGCTAGTTTTTCTATTAATTCAAAACAGAAACCATCCATCTCCATTCACCTTTTCCTTCTCTTCTTTAAGCTCTTTAATATCTTTTCCCAGCTTCCCCCACATTGGAGCAGATACAGCTGCAAAACACACACTGACTAGAGCACATCCATAGGGAGAAGGAGAAAGAAACTAGAGGAGATTACATTCAGCAAGCGATTTTGCCTGTCTGTTCTTTGTAATATGTGTGGACGATTATCATGCAATATAATTGTGAATCCTGTTACTTTCATGGAGAGAAAGTACATTTGTGTGTGTGTGTGTGTTTGTGTGTGTGTGTGATTTTACTTTTCATTCTTGGCTACCAGTAAAGCATATTTTGGGGGAACATGAGGAAACACTCATAGGCACCATAAATGTTTCCACAGGGAGATTTTTGTTTGAACAGGTTTCATTTAGCAAATAAAAATAATTCTGGTAAACTATTCTATACATTTCATTTCCATTAGAATTTAAGTTTAAAATTGAGTCCCTATAATCTGATTATTCTTAGAGTGGAAAGCATGATTAAAGATAATTTCCTTTTGATCCTGAATGTTTGATGGATACTGAATGATTCAGACCACACAAGATTAACTGAAGTTGTTGGAAGACAACTTTTGGAAGGCAAATGATTAAACTATTCCCCTAAAAATATGATTTTTTGGAACTATTTCCTGAAAATGCTGTGCACACCTCTACAGTATCCTCCTAATAAGACCACACCTGGAAATCTGAGTGTTTTGGCTTGAGGCATTTTGCTAGAGAGGTATTTGAAAGGTATCAGAGAGATAAATGAAACCACCTGGAGACTGTACCTCCAGTGGCAACCACTGGCCTGTCCTGGGACGAAGGTATGCTTGCTTTACTGCAGCTGTCAGCCTGCTACTTTGTTCTTTACAGCTCCTCTCAAAACACTATCCATCAAAAGGTGTCACTTAGATTTATAGGTGGCAGCAGCTCTACTTTTATGAAGCGCTGCTATTAAATATATGTGAATAATATTATTAATGCCTATTTAAATATTTATGAGGGCAAACTACATGACCTAAGTCCTGGGAAAAGACAAAACTGCTCACAAAATCAAGAAGCCCAGGAAAGTAAGACAAAGTACCTCAAATGTGCATAAAATAATCATTTCCTCACCTCAAAATATTAAAGTTTAAAACACAGAAGTGGGAGGAAAATAAGGACAACAGAATTTTAAAAACTTCAACAGTTCTGCTAGAATTCTTGTTCCTATGCAGATCAAAATCAAATTATCCTATAAAATGTGCAACAATTTGACTTTTACAGTTGCTCCTCTTCAGGTTTTGAAATCTTATGAAAACATACACAACTGCATCTTGTGAAATAGGAGAATTATAAATCACATGTTAAAGATACCTATATATTTCTTCAGGTGGATGACCAATGGACATAACACAATGTTTAAATGAAGGGTTTTTAAAATAACCCTATTAAAAATGGGCAAAGAACGTGAACAGGCACTTTTCAAAAGAAGACATACATCCAGCCAACAAACGTATGAAAAACGCTTAATATTACTGATCATTAGAGAAATGCAAATCAAAACCACAATGAGATACCATCTCACACCAATCAGAATGGCAATTACAAAAAGTACAAAAAATAACAGATACTGGTGATGTTGTGGAGAAAAAGGAACACTTACATACTGTTGGTGGGAGTGTAAATCTGTTCAACCATTGTGGAAAGCAGTATGGTGATTCCTTAAAGAGCTAAAAACAGGACTACCATTTGACCTAGGAATCCCATTACTGGGTATATATCCAGAGGAATATTAATCATTCTACCCTAAAGACACATGCACACAAATGTTCGTGGCCTCACTATTCACAATAGCAAAGACATGGAATTGACCTAAATGTCTGTCAATGACAGATTGGATAAAGAAAATGTGGTACATATACAACTGGGAATACTGTGAAGCTATAAAAAAGAATGGATTATGTCTTTTGTGGGAACATGGGTGAAGCTGTAGTTTGCTATGATCATTAGCAAACTAACAAAGGAAGAGAACATCAAATACTGCATGTTCTCATTTACAAGTGGGAGCTAAGTGATGAAAACTCATAAACACAAAGAAGGGAACAACAGACAATGGGGTCTACATGAGGGTGGAGGGTGAGAGGGTGGAGAGGGTCAGAAAAAATAACTATTTGGTACTTGGCTTAATACCTGGGTGATAAAATAATCTGTTACAATAAGCCCCTGTGACACGAGTTTACGTACATTACAAACCTTTACATGTACCCTTGAACCTAAAATAAAAATTAAAAAGGAACAGTGTTTTTGACATTTTAGAACCAATGCATTTTTCAAAAAGACTAAAAGCAGCATTTTATTATTATAAAATTTATGCATTTTAAATGTGAAAAGATAAAAATAATAAGCAAAAGTAAACAAGTAAAATCTGTATTGATCATACACGTAGTTTTAGTCTTAAAACCTTATTGATATCCTCAAAAACTTATGTATACTTAAATTTTCTACATATGTATATACATAATTATATGCATGAGATCAGAGTTTCCAGTTGTTTTGCAATTTGCTTGTTTTCATTATCACTATTTTTGCATATTAATATATTCACTTTATAGATTCAGACTTCTTCAATTTTACTCAAACTATCCTTCATAGCTGTATTAGCTAAGCCAGATTCAATCCAGGCTCATATGTGCTTACTTATTATGTCCCTTAAGTCTCTCTCTCTCTTTAAAAAAAAACAACTATATATATGTGTGTGTGTGTGTGTGTGTGTGCAAGTGTGTGTGTATGTATGGTGTATGTATGTGATTGTGTGTACATAAATTTGTTCAATCAACTTCTCCAGAAGTTTGTTAACATTTTTTCCCCTGGGACAATATTTTTATTTTTTGGCTCAGTTTTTGTTTCAAAGACTTGAGAAACAGACTAGGCTGGTCGCCCTGCAGAT
This sequence comes from Homo sapiens, assembly GCF_000001405.40. NCBI lineage: Eukaryota > Metazoa > Chordata > Mammalia > Primates > Hominidae > Homo > Homo sapiens. The sequence goes on along the minus strand of NC_000007.14, from coordinate 84,894,311 downwards.
TGATGTATTTTCTCAATTTGTCTGGTTGTTTCCTTGAGATATTGCATGACGTATTTTTCTATCCCTGTGTTTTCTGCAAATATGAATGTGCATCTGAAAACTTGTTGGATTCAAGTTTTTGTTTGTTTCTTGAATGTCTTCAAGGTGATATTGTGGACTTCATATTGCATCAGCCAAGGAGGCTCATAACATGCTTGAACCACCATTACTGATGCTAAGCTTGAACACTAAATTTTTGGTGATGACCATGTAATGCTCGGTTGCACTGCTTGGTGCTCCACTCTATAACTTGAAAGCAATTTGTACAATAATACTTTGGCACTACATACATGTACAGTTTCCTATCTACTATCTGTATAATGGTTTTATATAACATTGTTATTTGTTCTTTGACCTTGATGACATCATTTTCCACTATGAATGTCTTAGGATTTAATATAATCAAATTTATCTTTTCATGGGATCTGAACTTAGGTAAGTTTTATTTAAAAGGTTTCCCATACAACAAAATTAATAAGGACTTCATAGTTTTTGTTTGTTTGTTTGTTTATTTGTTTTATTGAGACAGGGTCTCATTCTGTTGCCCAGGCTGGATTACGGTGGTGAGATCAAAGATCACTGCAGCCTCCACTTCCTGAACTCAAGTGATCCTCTTGCCTAAGCCTCCCAAGTAGCTGGGACTGCAGGCACATGCCACCACACTTGGTTTTTTAAAGTTATTATTTGTAGAGATGGGGTCTCACTATGTTGCCCAGGCTGGTCTCAAACTCCTAGGCTCAAGTGATTCTCCTGCCTCAGCCTCCCAAAGTTGGGATTACAGGCATGAGTGACTGCACCCAGTTGGCTTTATAGTTTCTTTACTTGTATTCACAGTTCATTTGTAGTTTATGTGGGTGTATGGTGTGAAGCATGAGTTAAGCTAATCTTTATTTCTTTTACAAATTATACCTATTTGACCTGACATTTGAGAGTCCATCTTTAGCTTACTGATTTGAAAGTTTGTCTTTAACATGTACTAGATTCCCAATTGTGGGCCATAATATTCCTGTTTCATTTTCTCTCTTTTTATGTGCCAATACTATTAAGTTTTGAGGCTTTATAGTGTATTGTCCTATCTAGTAAGGCTATTCTTATTTTATTTATTTTACAATTTTTCCCTGTTCTTACTTATACATTTTTTTCCATAGCAACATCAAAATCTACTTGTTTGCTTTCATAAAAATACTTATTGGTATTCTGTAGGAGTCTATTTTGAATTCATAAATTGTTAGAGTTTATTGACTTCTGTGTGATTTTAATTCTTCCTATCCAAAGATGGCAAGTCTTTACTTTCAAGTACACTCAGGCTCTTCAGAAGTGTCCTAGTTTTCTTCATATAAAAATCATTCCTCTCAAAGGGACTCATGTCTGTTTCATGTTTTATTACTCCCAAACCTATAATTTGGAAAACCTGTACATATATATGGTCTGACAGTAATACTTCCTTCTCCTTTTGATAGGCTAGCATACCATCATGAGATGTCTTAATTTGTTTATTTCCTGCTGTCTCCTTTCTTTTTTGTGTGTGTTTTGCCCTAACATATCATTGCCATTTGCTTTAAATTTATTGTATGATTGAAGGAAGACCTGCTATCATTTCCTATGCTGATTCTGCTCTGTGTTTCTTCTTTTTTGAAAGACATCTTTATTTTAAAATCAGGCTGAACCATGTTTTAAGTTACAAAATCTCCACATTGGTGTCCTTAAGACACAAATTATACAGATTAATGAGTATGTAATATCTTGAAAAGGATTTAGGCCTATTTTTTCCAAAACAAAAAGTTCCACATATTTTAAGCCTATATATAATATTTTCAAAAATTAATATGTAGCAGAAATTAAACTGTGCTCACCTATTTAGTCTGTTGCTATTGGAGAGTTTGGTCCTATTGCTAAAAATTGAAAAATATGTTATAAAGAAAAAATAAGCATATAACAGTAAGTATTAAAATGCATTATATGGCTTTTAGGAAAACAAATTGTACAAATATTGAAATTAGCCTTAATATGTTCAAATGTTGATCTCTTTTAGTTTATCTGATATAAGAAATATTGCTCTGGAGACAAATTGTAGACAGAGGAAGTGCTCATATCTTTTATTGATATATAATGATTGTATATATTTGAGGTACATGTGATATTTTCATACTTGCATAGAACAAATTATCTGAATAGACATTTATCAAAAGAATACATACAGATGGCCAATAGATATATGAAAAATGCTCAAATCATTAATCATTAGGGAAATGCAAATCATATCTGAAGAGTTAAATAATTCATGACTTGTTTACACTTCCTAGTTCTCTGTAACAATGTATGAAATATAACATTTCTGATTCCTGGAGAAACCAAGCTACCCAAAAAGATTGCTAAAATATGAACCAAAACAAAAATGCAAAATCCTGTTGTGATACTAAGTTATGTAAAAAGTAAAAAAAATAAATTTTTAAAAGTAAAAAAGAATATGAATAAAATAGTGTAATAATAGAATTGCCAAATACATACAGAATAAAATACAGGTTGAATATTCATTCTTTGATATACTTGGGACCAGAAGTGTTTCAGATTTTGTTTTTTCATATTTTAGAATATTTGCATATATATATAATCAGATACCTTAGAGATGGGACGCAAATTTAAACACAAAATTTATTTTTGTTTCATAAACTCATACTCCTGTAACACATAACCTGAAGGTAATTTTATACAATATTTTTAATAACTTTGTTGCATGGAATAAATTTTTGGCTATGACCTGTCACATGAAGTCAGGTGTGGAATTTTCCACTTGGGGCATCCTGTAGGTACTCAAAGAGTTTCAGATTCTGGAACATTTTGAATTTTGTATTTTCAGATGCTCAATGTATACATGGCTTAGTCAAACTGAGAACAACTGTAAAAGCTAGATCATTAATTATTATCAAGATTATATGAAACACTAATCAGGAAATTTAACATTATTATCAGGCAAAGAAAAATTTGTACCTTTATGGGCAATAATTCTAGAAATATATGAACTTTATTTTCCAGGTAAAGAAACTAATTTTTATAAAGATGAATATCACTTATGTGGAAAATCAATCTCCTTATTTCAAAATAGAATTACAATTCAAGTTTTCTGAAAATTAGCCTAAGATATTTTTCTACTAAAACACACTTTCTGATTTAAATGTTTTGCATATTATCCTCAAGTAATTAATAATATAGTAGTCTTTGATGGGAAATGTTATATTTAGTATTTCTACAATAAGATTAATTTCTTTAAGCAAACCATGATTAATATAGTGTTTTTATGTAATTTTTTTCCTTAAAATTGGGATTTAGGGAAGGGCTACCTTAAAAATTTGTTAGGTTGTAATAAATGAAGTAATCAAATTGACAATATTGAATGGCTAGCACTCACATGTATTAAATATGATATTCTAAGCAGATGATAAAATGTATATGCGCAGGAAACAATTTATATTATCCTTAGTGACAGAAAGGAGCCAACATATTTAGCTTCTAGGTTTATAAAGAAATAACCTTTTTTGTTTTCAAGATTTTATTGGCAAAGGCAATATTTCATAGCTAGAAAATCACTTTTTATAAAATCTCTTCAATTGATTTGTAAAAGTTTACAGATGTTATAGCCTCCTAGAAATATAGTGAGAAAATACACAAAAAAGAATAAATGAAACACTCATAATTTACTCACAGATAATAATCTGTTTTTAACATTTTTGTGTTTGTCTTTTTAGACAAGGACAAATATGCATTTTCCCCTTGAAATATGTTAATTTTATAAAGACTGTTTTGTAGCTTGGTTTTTAAAAGTTTTTTCAATGTCTTATTTTACTTGTACCATAATTTCTAATTGTTGATCATGTACATTTTCTGTCAAGTGTTTCACATTACAAATATTGACATGAATGCCCTTGAGGCTAATTTTTGTCATTCATTCTATAACTACAGTTGTCAAAGTTGCTAATATATCTATACACTTGATAGCATTACTATCAGTTGTAGATTTCAAGAGATGAAATTCTGCATTCCAAAGTAGAAGTATTTGAGAAACTCTAGCTTTCTCAACTGGGAGATTTTGGACGCTCTGTTAATCTATTAACGTATTGACCTATTAAATGTTATCTATTAATGAAAGATATCATATATTGAATTATATTATGCAATGCACGATAGTGTGTGTGTGAGGGAAGTCTCATATAGACTACTCACATAAAAACTATTCTGAAGGTTTTACATGTTGTTAACTTTTTTCAACAAAACTAAAATGTCTCATCACTAGGAAATAAAGTCTAAAACAAACAAAACAAAATTAAAATGACTTTCTATATTTTTCATATGCAGCTGCCTGATGAAAATTAATGGAAATATATACTGATCTCAAAATGTTCTCTCTTATATTGCAGGAAAAGCAGATAGAAAGGAAATAATCAGAGCAACAGGTCATTTTTTCACATTTACCACGGATCCTAGATTTTTGAAGTAGTGGGTTAACAACAAACCTCCCTTCCCAAGTGAGATAAAGGAATTAAAACACAGTAATTGACTTGGTAAGCAGTTGTTAATCCATAATCATTGAAATTAGATAATTTAATCATTTTGATTTTCAGGAATTACTAAAACTTTCCTTTTAGTCCCATTATGTGTAATTACAGCTATTTTATATATAAAAAATTAGACTCATATGTTGATTATACTGATCATGGATTAGCTTTAAAATATTTGGATCAAAAAATAAATTTATAATACATCAATATTTGAATAAAGAAAAATTCTACTAACTTCAGTTTACAAAAATAAGATCATTTATATTGGAACAAACTGAATTATATCACACTGCAGGATTTTTCAGTGATTTTTGACAAATGTGATGTGTGTAAGTTTACCTAAATTTTTTTTTAGAGATCTCTGAGGTGACTTAAAACAAGGGATAGTTTTAAATAACTGGCAATACAATCTTTATCAGAAGTGTATGTCAACTTCCCACAGGTATGAATAATTATGAACACTCATTATTGACAAACATGAGACTTTATTAATATTAGAGAAGGAAAATATGTACCTGGATTCACTTTAAATAGAAAATTCCTGGGGAGGGAAGTATGTAGATTAGAATTACTCTAATTCTGAAGTAATCTATATTCTGAATGCTTAGTGAAGTGAAATGTGGCTTCAATTTAATGTAAAAAATGCTATTATAACTACATTTATTAAGCATAATAGACATATGGAAATAGCTTATGACTCAATTGAACTTCTACATATAATGCATTATTGTGTTCTTATAAAACGCCAATGTCAAAAACATATTTGATATTAACAAGTTTATAAATTATTACAGTTACAGGAGAAAACTTCTATTATTTACTATCATGCCTGAGATGCCACTCATTGTATTTAAAGCATACAGACATTATCTTTTAAGATTACAACGGATTCAGAATGGCTATATTTGAATTAATTTTGATATTTGAATAAACTTTTCACCATCTACATTTCAATTGGTCTCAGTGATTTTCTTATGCTATTTCAGCTGATGCTAGTTAAGTTTTCAAGAACAATAGATTGATTTTTTTGTTTAACTTACTTCATAGGGCTTAAGTATTTTATTCTCATCCTTTTAAAGGATGCAGAGAAATCCTAGTGATTTCATGGATAATTATGCAGTGAAAGTAAGTCTCTCTAAATTAGAATTAGTTAAATTTCCAAAATCTAGTTGAAGGGATGCTGATACAACATTACATTATTAAACTAAAATGTTGCCATTCAAGATATAAGGCTATCACTGCTCCAAGCGTATGATTCTATAAAATTATTTTTGTTAGAATTATGAATTTTTTTTTAAGTCTTCACTGCTAATACCTTCAGGAACTGGATAATTCAAGGTGACTAGGGACTGGAATGGACCCCCAGCACACTGAAGTAGCCCTGTAAAAAAGTGGCCAGATTGTTTGTAACATGGGACCCTGATCGCGTATCTACTTACTGGCCTGGGTATCCAGGTACCCTCTCTCACAAGCCGCCTTTGAACTGGGACTATCAAGCCAGTAGCAGCTCTGCAACTCCCTGGGACAGAGCTCCCTGTGGAAGGGGCAGGTTGCCATCTTTGCTCTCTTGAAGCCCTCACCCTTGCTGTCTCCAGGCTCTGCAGAGTCCACGGGACGTGGGAATGGTGTGGAACCCCACACCGTGCACCCATTGCACAGAAAAGTGGCTGTGTTACAGCCTACTTAGTCCCTAGTTTAGTTAGGTCTGAGTTCTTGTTCCACAACCAAGGAGAATAAGGCATGCAGACACCAGAGAGTGCATGGAGTAGGATTTTTAAGCAAAAGGGAAGCTCTCAGCAAAGAAAGGGGGCCTGAAAGCAGGTTGCCGGAAATGGGGCTGAATTTTGGGTCTTTTAAGTGGTAAAGAGAAGGAAGTCTTCTGTGGGATCTGCCCAAAATGGGAGGGGCAAATTCCTTCCTAAGGATGTTGCATCTGCGTATGCCTGGGATTGGCCAGAGTGAGTCCATCTTGGTTATTACCCATGAAAGCCTAAGAAAAACTCATGGAGGTGCTAAAACCACAATGCTAATGTCATGTTAATGACATTTAATGAGTTGAGTCAAATTAAGGACAGTTAGGTTGATATATTGTCCCCGTGCCTAGGCTGGGACATTCCCTTCTGAGCAAGATCCTGGCATAAGAGGAAATTCTTAACCACATTTCTTTCCACTAGGTATAGGGGTTGTGCAGGTGTGGTCCTGCAGGTATTTTTCCACTCCTGAAACCCTCCCTCCCTATCTGCCTAACCAGCCTCTAAGTTTCTCCTCTGTTGGCTGAACTGTTCTCCCTGCAGGTCCTGGTTCTCATTTCTTCTCATTGGGCAGGGCTGCCCAAATTAAGACTCCAGAATAACCACCTTGCCCAAACCTGACCACTTCAATCACAGGCAGCCCAGCAGTGTTAAGGAACGCCCACATGCAGAGATGAGAAAGAATCAGTGCAAACTCCAGCAACTCTAATTGCCAGTGTTTTATGTCCTCAAAATGGCCACAGTACTTCTCTAACAAAAGTTCTTAATGAGGCTGAGTTGGCTGAAATGATAGAAACAGAATCCAGAATACAGATAAGAATGAAGATCACTGAAATTCAGGAGAATGACAAAACCCAATCCACGAAAATGAAGAATCACAATAAAATAATACAGGAGCTGACAACAAAATAGCCAGTATAAAAAAGAACCTAACTGATCTGATAGAGCTGAAAAACACACTCCAGGAATTTCACAATGCGATCGCAAATTTAACAGCAGAATAGACCAAGCTGAGTAAAGAATCTCAGAACTTGAAGACTGGCTCTCTGAATTGAAATAAGATGGTAAGAAAAAAAAAAAAAAAAAGGAAAAGCAATGAACAAAAAACTCCAAGAAATGTGGAATTATGTAAAGACACCAAATCTATGAATAGTTGGCATCCCTGAAAGGGATAGGTAGAAAGTAAAAAACTTGGAAAGGATATTTCACGATACCATCCATGAAAACTTTCCCAACCTAGCTAGAGAGGCCAATAATCAAATTCAGGAAATACAGAGAACCACTACAAGATTCTACACAAGAAGATTATCTCCAACACACTTAGTTATCAGATTTTCCAAGGTTGAAATGAAAGACAGAACATTAAAGGCAGCTAGAGAGAAAAGGCAGGTCACTCATAAAGGGAACCCCATCAGGATAACAATGGACCTCTCAGCAAAAAACCCTGCAAGCCAGAAGAGATTGAGGACCTATATTCAACATTCTTATAGAAAGAAATCTTCAACCTAGATTTTCATGTCCAGCCAAACTAAGCTTCCTCAGCAAAGGAAAAATAAGATGCTTTTCAGATAAGCAAATGCTAAAAGAGTTTGTTACCACCAGATCCACCTTACAAGCGATATTGAAAGGGGTACTAAATATGGAAAGGAAAGATTGTTACCAGCCAAGACAAAAAAACATGTAAGTAGAAAGACCAGTGACACTATAAAGCTACCAAATAAATAAGCTGGCACAATAACTAGGTAACAACACAATGACAGGATCAAATTCACACATATCAATCCTACCTTGAATGTAAATGAGCTAAATGCCCAATTTAAAGTTACAGAGTGGCAAGCTGTCTATAAAAGCAAGACCCAATAGTATGCTGTCTTCAAGAGAGCCATCTCAAACACAATGACACACATAGGCTCATAATAAAGGGATGGATAAAAATCTACCAAGCAAAAAGAAATCAGAAAAAAAGCAGGGGTTACAATCTTAATTTCAGACAAAACAGGCTTTACACCAACAAAGATCAAAAAAAACAAAGAAGGGCATTACATAATGGCCCAGGGTTCAATTCAACAAGAAGACCTAACTATAATAAGTATATATGCACCCAACACAGGAGCACCCATATTCATAAAGCAAGTTCCCAGAGACCCATGAAGAGACTTAGACTTCCACACAATAATAGTGGGAGACTTAAACACTCCACTTAAGTAATAGACAGATCACTGAGGCTGAGAATCAACAAAGATATTCAGGACCTGAACTCAACATTGGATCAAATGAATCTGATAGACCTCTATATAACTCTCCACCCAAAAACAACAAAATATACATTCTTCTCATCTGCACAGGACACATACTCTAGAATTGACCACACAATCAAACATAAAACAATTCTCAGCAAATGCAGAAGAACCAAAATCATATCAGACCCACTCTTGGACCACAGTGCAATAAAAAATAGAAATCAAAGCTAAAAAAAATCATTCAACACCATGAAATTACATAGAAATTATACAACCTGCTTCAGAATGACTTTCAGAATTTGGTAGATAATGAAATTAAGGCAGAAGTCAAGAAATGCTTTGAAACGAATGAGAACAAAGATAAATCATACCATAATCTCTGTGACATAGCTAAGGCAGTGTTAAGAGGGAAATTTATAGCTCTAAACACCTACGTCAAAAAGTTAGAAAGATCTAAATTTAATAAGCTAGCATCACAATTAAAAGAACTAGAGAATAAAGAGCAAAACAACCCCAAATCTAGAAGAAAACAAGAAATAACCAAAATCAAAGCTGAACTGAAGGAGATCGAGACATGGAAAACCATTCAAAAGACCAACAAATTCAGGACTTGTTTTTTTGAAAAAAAAAATTATAAGATAAAAAGGCCGCTGGCTAGATTAATAAAAAAGAAAAGAGAGAAGATCCAAATAAACATAATCAGAACCAACAAAGAGGATGTTACCACTGACCCCACAGAAGTACAAATAACCATTGCAGAATACTATGAACCCCTCTATGCACACAAACTAGAAAACCGCAAAGAGCTACATAAATTCCTGGACACATACACCCTCCCAAGATTGAAACAGCAAGAAATTGATTCCCTGAACAGACCAATAACAAGCTTCAAAATTAAATCAGTGATAAGTAGCCTATCAACCAAAAAAATCTCAGAACCAGATAGATTCACATTTGAATTGTAGCAAATGTACAAAGAAGAGCTGCTGCTACCATTCTTGCTCAAACTCTTCCAAAAAATTAAGGAGGACAAACTCCTCTCCAACTCTTTCTATGAGGCCAGCCTCATTCTGATACCAAAGCCAGGCAAAGACACAACACAAAAAAGAAAACCTCAGGCCAATATACTTGATGAACATTAATGCAAAAATCTTTGACAAAATACTTGCAAACTGAATCCAGATCCACATCAAAATGCTTATCCACCACAATCAAGTAGGCTTAATTCCTGGGATGTAAGCTTGGTTCAAAGTATGCAAATCAATAAATGTGATTCATCACATGGACAGAACTAAAGACAAAAATCAACATGATTATTTCAATAGATGCAGAAAAGACATTTGATACAATTTAACATCCTTTTATGTTAAAAACTCTTAATAAACTATGTATTGAAGAAATATACCTCAAAATCATAAGAGCCATATATGACAAATCTATAGCCAACATCGTACTGAATGAGCAAAAGCTGGAAGCATTCTCCTTAAACACCAGCACAAGATAAGGATGCCCTATCTTATCACTCCCATTCAACATAGTATTGGAAGTCCCAGACAGAGTAATCATGGAAGAGAAAGAAATAAATGGCAAACAAATGGGAAGAGAGAAAGTCAAACAATCCCTGCTTGAAGATGACATGATTTTATATCTAGAAAATCCCAGTCTCAGCCCAAAATCTCCTTCAGCAGATAAACAACTTCAAGTGTAAATTTGCTCAGCCATTGTGGAAAGCAGTGTGACAACTCCTCAAAGAGCTAAAAACAGAACTACCACTCAACCCAGCAATCCCATTACTGGGTATATACCCAAAGGAATATAAATCATTCTACCACAAAGACACATGCATGCAAAAGTTCATTTCAGCAGTATTCACAATAGTAAATACATGGAATCAAACTAAATACCTATCAATAGTAGACTGGATAAAGAAAATGTGGTACATATACAGTGTGGAATACTATGCACCCATAAAAAAGAATGAGATCTTGTTCTTTTCAATAACATGGATGGAGCTGGAGGTCATCATTCTTAGCAAACTAATGCAGGATCAGAAAAACCAAATACCACATGCTCTCACTTATAAGTGGGAGCTAAATGATGAGAACGCATGGACACAAAGATGGGAACAGCACACACTGGGGCCTATCTGAGGGTGGAGGGTAGAAGGAGGGAAAGGAACAGAAAAAACAACTATTGGGTGTTAGGCTTAGTATCTGGGTGACAAAATAATCGGTACAATAAACCACTGTGGCATGAGTTTACCCATATAACAAACTTGCACATGTACCCCTGAATATAAAAGTCAGAAAAAAAAATTATGAAAAATATAAAAGGAAAAATCCACATTTGAATGACTGTGTGATTACTGTACTAAATACACAACTATGATTCGACATACCATCTAAGAAGCCAAGACATCTAATAAGATTTTGTCAATATTATATAAAAGATAATTTAAACCAAAAGCATTTGAATCAAGACCACACTATATAATTTATCTGTAAAACATGTTACCACATAAAAAATTCCATTCTAAAATGCTCCCCCAAACCTCAGTGTCATCTACTAATACAATCTCACAAGCTGTTCTGGGGAGGTCTTGGTGATTATCAGTCTGGGTTCATTTTAACTTTTTTATTGTTGTTGTTACATGTATAAAGAACAGAGATTTATTTTTCACAGTTCAGGGGGCAATTTTCTTTTTTTAGGGTTGAGACCATGTACAAACCTCCCAACTTCAGTCCCAGGGCATTGGAAGAATGCTGAGGTCCTTCTCAGTGGAGCTAGGTTAGCCAAGTGTGAGGAGCGGGGAGAATGATGTTCTTCAATTAGAATTGTAAAAGTTTGTGTTCATTATGTTGATAATATTTTAATTAATGCTATTTTGAGAAATAAACATTACAATTTAATGACTATATAATGAGTATGTTAGTATAGAATAAGCACACTTATTTCAATTAGTTTTTTCTTTTTCTCTGAAACGTGGCATATTTCTGCAACTCACTATACTAAATAATATGAAACCAATATTCTGGGCTCCACGGGTCACTGTCCCACTCCCTGAAGGAAATAATAGCTCTTCTTACAACAGCCAGCTACCTAAGCTTTTCTTGCCTCTGTAACTATTAATAATTCACCCCATGGCAACTTGAGGCAACTTTTTAAAAGATCAGATTATTTATCTCTCCATTAATCACTCTAAAGTAAAATTTTATAATGTCTTCTCATCACCCTTAGAAAAGGATTGCAAGGCAAAACATAGGACAAGTGTTATGTTTTAAGTATTATATCATTGCAGAACAAGTGTTGGATGAGACAAATTATACCAAAAGTAATTATCTAAAATTCCAATTTAATTAGGCAGCTTCTATTTTTATTAGCTAAATCTGGCACCCTAGTATAGCTGATAAAGAAAACCCCTTTTAGTGTCCTACACACCCTATCCACTCTGGCATCTGCTGGCTTTGCCCGCATCGTGTTACATCAGTCTCTACCACACTCTTCCCTATTCCTTTGTTTCACAAAATGCAAGCTGACCCATCGGTGGGTTGTGAAGTCAACTCAAGGGCCTGTCTGTGTTGAGAGAGAGAGAGAGAGAGAGAGGGGAGAGAGAGATAGACAGAGAGAACAAAACAAAATTAAAGGAATAGAAACAAAGGTAAAAGTGCATAACATGTAGTAAGAGAATAATGCTTCATAAAACTCTAAGCTATACATGTGTAAGTGTGTGTCTCTGTCTGGTGTCTCTAGGTGTGTATTAGGTGACAATGTAAAATTAATTTTTTTACTGTGGGTCTGGGTCAAGTATTTTGAAAGCCACTGCCTAGCCACATTGCCCTTTTTTAAACCAGCAAGTGCAAACCACTTTCCGGCTCCTGGACCTTTGCAAGACTTTTTTCCCTCTGCTTAGAATGATTCTTCTCTCCATAATACCTTATCCTCCTCATGTGTCTGGCTCCTTGTAATTGTTAGGTTCTAAACTTAAATGGTATTGTGTCCGGAATTGGTGGGTTCTTGGTCTCATTGACTTCAAGAATGAAGCCGCGGACCCTCGTGGTGAGTGTTACAGTTCTTAAAGGCAGCATGTCTGGAGTTTATTTCTTCCTTCTGATGTTCGGATGTGTTCGGAGTTTCTTCCTTCTAGTGGGTTCGTGGTCTGGCTAGCTCAGGAGTGAAGCTGCAGACCTCTGTGGTGTTACAGCTCATAAAGGCAATGTGGACCCAAAGAGTGAGCAGCAGCAAGGTTTATTGCAAAGAGCAAATGAACAATGCTTCCACAATGTCGAAGAGAACCTCAGCTGGTTGCCACTGCTGGCAAGGGCAGCCTGCTTTTATTCTTATCTGGCCCCACCCACATCCTGCTGATTGGTCCATTTTACAGAGAGCTGATTGGTCCGTTTTGACAGGGTGCTGATTGTTGCATTTACAATCCCTGAGCTAGACACAAAAGTTCTCCAGGTCCCCACTAGATTAGCTAGATACAGAGTGTCCACACAAAAGTTCTCCAGGTCCCCACTAGATTAGCTAGATACAGAGTGTCCACACAAAGGTTCTCCAAGTCCCCACCAGAGTAGCTAGATACAGAGTGTGGATTGGTGCATTCACAAACCCTGAGCTAGACACAGGGTGCTGATTGGTGTGTTTACAAACGTTGAGCTAGATACTACTGAGTGCCAATTGGTGTATTTGCAACCCCTTTGCTAGACATAAAGGTTCTCCAAGTCCCCACGAGACTCAGAAGCCCAGCTGGCTTCACCCAGTGCATCCCTCGCGGGGGTCGCAGGTGTAGCTGCCTGCCAGTCCTGCGCCGTGCGCCCGCACTCCTCAGCCCTTGGGTGGTCGATGGGACTGGGCGCCGTGGAGCAGGGGGTGGCGCTCGTCGCGGAGGCTCTGGCCGCGCAGGAGCCCACGGCGGGGGAGGCTCAGGCATGGCGGGCTGCGGGTCCCGAGCCCTGCCCCGCCGGGAGGCAGCTAAGGCCCGACGAGAAGTCGAGCACAGCAGCTGCTGGCCCAGGTGCTAAGCCCCTCACTGCCGCGGCGGCGGGCTGGCCGCTCTGAGTGCCGGGCCTGCCGAGGCCACGCCCACCCGGAACTTGCGCGGGCCCGCAAGCGCCGCGCAGCCCGGGTTCCCGCCGGCGCCTCTCCCTCGGCGCCTCTCCCTCCACACCTCCCCGCAAGGTGAGGGAGCCGGCTCCGGCCTTGGCCAGCCCAGAAAGGGGCTCCCACAGTGCAGCGGTGGGCTGAAGGGCTCCTCAAGCGCGGCCAGAGTGGGCGCCAAGGCGGAGGAGGCCCGGAGAGCGAGCGTGGGCTGTGAGGTCGGCCAACACGCTGTCACCTCTCAGTATCTTCTTAAAGAGGCTTACAATAGTGGAATATGTTGAATACTGAAGAGACTGATTCACCTTGCTCTAAAGACCTGTGGTAGACAAACATATTTAATGTAAGGTAAGTCATATACCACTCCCCACTCCACACCCCACACACACAGCCCTCCAATATTATTTGAGTTCACTATTAAAGAAAAGTCGGTATTTTTCTCAGTTGGTTAATACTATTTAGAGCCAGTAATGACACCTACTTTGGAGGTATATTTTATTATTTTATTTGTTAAATGTATTAGTTACTGCAATATCCCTCAAATTTGTTAAATAATGTAACCAAATAATTCAAATTTACTTTTTAAATTATTTCAGTTGATCTAATTATTTATATAGTTCGTTATAGTGTGTAGGTACCTGATTATTGGAATCTAAACCTTTGTGAAGTGTTCTGTTTTTAATCCACAAGAGGGATTCACATCTCTTAGGGTAAAATAATTTACAGAAATCTGCTTTGAGGCTCAGAGAGAAATTCTTCTTGAATATGCTTACAAGGACTAAACAGCTCTCATTTTATCCTAAGTGATACTTTTAAAAGCCTTTGCATAATGCCACTCTTTTCCATTTATATAGACTTCTAAAAAAATGAGCATGCTTGTCTTCCAGCTACTAACAACAGATGTGCTTAGCATAAAACATCAGAAGTGAATTTTGCAAACTGTAGCTAAGATCTAGTAAAATTGGAATGAAAATTTGCCTTCGAGGAAGCTATCTGCTATTTTCTTCTGCAAATTTGTTTCATATTTTCCTTAAAGATAAGGGGGAAAGGATAAGCTCTTAGTTATGTTTCTATATTAGCATTACATCTGGTTACCAACTTTAAATATTTTTTTGAAAAGTTTCAATTGGGTCCTTGTGTCAGAGACCTTCAATAAAAGATTTTTAATTCAAAAGAGTTGAAATAATCTCCTATGGCCCTTTGACTTGAAGAAGTCAGTTTTAAAATTCAGTTACCTCTGTCATAGAGTTTTCAACCATTAAGCATCTCTTTTTAATTTTTTTTTCTAAAATTTGCTCAGGATTTAAATGGAAGCAATAATGTAAACTGAAAAGCATAAGAGATTGACTCTTCTAATTTATGACAAAGAAAACTACTGCACCTGCTTCTTTTAATATTTATAAGCAATTTTCTAAAATATTATATTCTAAAAGCACACTGATTTTCCTTTTAGTAGTAATTGTGAGAGGTTTTCAAGTTGCAGTCTTTGAATTTTATTCTGATTGTCGGGTATATTATATTTGTGATAATAATTGTGGGAGTATACTGTTTATTAATAGTATGTTACATTTCCATAGTATTTCAAAACTTCTGAAGCATAAATTTATTCTTTTAAGTTCCAAACTATATTTTTTTTCTCAAAGCTTTACAAAATGTTTTGCTTTTGAAATTTTAACACACTAAATTCCACTTTCAAACTAGGTTTTTTTGGCTTTTCTTTATCTCCCCAAGACTTGAAATCTTTTCAATTAGGTTTCTTAGTTGACTTTGCTCAACTATGACATGAAACAATTAGCTTTTTATTAAATCTGCTAACCATCAAAAAGCACAATGTAGATGTTTTGTAGCAGGTAAAGTACTATCTTTTCTCATAGAGTAAGCCTTTATTTCAAATAAAAGTAATAAAATTATGCTTATTGCTCCCAATTTATCTTGGTATATATTTCCAGAAATACTATGCAGCCATGAAAGAAGTTGACAATAACAGTGGGCACCCCATTTTTTGTTGAACTGATTAGTTTTGTAATATAAATTGCATGAAGACAAACCAAAAGTTTGTTCCACATTAATGCACTAATAAAATTGATTATTTGATTTGCTACTACAGAATACATTTTAAAAACTAGTCACTATTTGAAAAATTATTTCTGACTTGTGGTTGCCCAGATGTCTTGATTGCAGAACAACCCCATTCCTGAATGTAGGCATTAGGCAGCTGTTGTTTTCTTCTCAGAACTTGACAGTTGCAATAATTTAAAGCCAAGTCTTGATGCTTTGCTAAATTAGTTATTCTCTTCTCACCATATATAGTCATTGACATTTCATAACATTTGAGCATCTTGCTCACTCTTTCATTGAATGAACATGCCACTGAAATCACAGCAGTGACTGAAAATTCAAGGAACTGGAATAATTTTGATGATCCTGAATTAATTTTTTAATATAGAAATTTCTATGAAAGGAAGGTAATAAATACTGCTAAAGAAATTGACCATGACATCATCACATATATCTGTTGTATTTAAATTTCAAGATTTCTTTTATAAATGGATTAAACACTATACTTTTTATATTGTTCCCAACATTTGGTCTTTGCTTGTGTATCACGCAATACATTGGGAATCTTCCAGGTGTGATTTTCATCACTTTAGCTTTTTCCTACTTCTGTGTTGCCCAAGTTACACCATTCAGCAGCAAGTAGCTGTAGTGTTAAGTTTTCATGTTAAGGCTTTCCTGGAATGTACTGAAATGTGTCCTTCAGCATGTCCAGTTTTAATACCTAACTCCTCACAAAGTGAGAATTTTGCAAAGCATCCTGAAGTCTCATGTATACTAGAATTTTAAATCTAATATTTTTGCTTATGTACATAAGATAAATTGAAGTTATTTTCTTTTTTTTCCAAAGCCAAACTGTATCCATCTTCATTAAAGATACTTTCCATAAACAATCATGGTATTTCAGGCAGGACGTGGGCAGACAGTCGTTAACAGTATACAGCAACTTTCAAACTCCCTTCTTCAATGGACTACCAAAAATCAGAAAGCCACTATAAAACTCAATGAAGTCTTCATCTGATGCTCTGAACAGGGAAAGTTTAGAGTGAGGGTTGACATTTCACATTTAGTGTGTTGTTTAACAACTTTTCATGAGCTGACCCTGACTTTCAGGAAGTGAAATGAAAATGGCAGAATTTATCTTAAAATCCACAATCTAGAAACGGGAACCAATGCTCTTTTGACAGGTGCCATCTCAGTGGCATCACTGGAAGTCCAGATTGGCTGACACACTGGTTACCAAGGATTGGGGGTCAGGTCCCAACAGATGGCTGGGTTTTAGGGAGTTAAGTCTCTGCTGAAAGATGGAAAGGGAGTGAGGACATAAAAATGAATTTGTTTTTCCATACCACAAGGCTTTTGTGCCAAGGTGAACGTGTGTGCAAAATCAGGGAATCTCTCCTCCTGGGAGCCAAAAAGAAGTCCCTCAAAACTAGAAGAGAAAGATGTTTTCCCTACATCAATCCAGCTTCAGAGACATTCTATTAGTTACATATGCCCCTTCCCCCTAAAATACCAATGAAGTGTTCTGTGTGCTAACAACATAGCTTAAAAAAAGTAAAACAAGATTCTGCATTTTTATAAAACTTGATCAGAATAGTATTTCAAACTGTACAGCCACCAGAAGTACACACTCAGTCAAAAAGGCACACACTCCACTTGGCATCTCCAGCACCTTCAGCTTTCTGTGCCTGGTCTGTTTTGGCATCTCTCTTTTCTGCAGGCTTATTCCCCTCCTTGCCTGCATCAGCTTTTCTTTTTTTCCCTTTGGGTACCTTCTCTGTCTTCTTTGCAGGGGCCTTTTTAGGCTCAGGCTCTGGCTTTGGAGGAGCAGGTTTAGTAGACAACCTCGCGGATCTTCTCTGTGGTTCATCCTTCACCTTGACTTTATGTCCTTCAGCCTTTCTCCTGGGCATGGTGGCGGCGACAGCGGCTGGACGTAGGCACTGGGCACGGGATGCAGTGGCGCGCGGGCTTTGGTCGGTCCGGGGGTGGTTCTCGCCTCTTCTTATTCACACTGTTCCTGGAGTTATTTTCAAGATATCAGAAAGCACCTTTAGATCAATTGTCACTTTATGCCTATGGCTGAATAGAACAAATTTAAATGTAAGGAACTTGGCTTGGCTCTATTAGCTCTGCAAAGGACACTGTCTATTTGATATAACCATGATGTCCATGAGAATGTGCCTCTCAGGTCTCTAGCTGCAGGGAGCTTAACTGTCCGAGGGCCTAGCAGCAGTGCTTTGAAATTCACATAGATTCTTGCGCTGATGGACAACCTCAGGCTACTCCCAAAGATTGAGTATGGCAGGATACCAACGCAGGCCTGTTCCTGGGAGATGCAGCTGTCCTCTGATGCACAGCTTTGGCTTGAGGACTCTTCATCTGCCTTGCCTAACTGCCTAACTTGCCTTAAGTATACATGGCAGTTTGAAATGCTGCCACACCAACTAAGTAAAATTTACCTCCCTCTTTTATTATTATTATTTTTTTTTTTAGCAGTATCATGGTTTAATGACTCTGTAAGCATCCCTTAGCTCTCTCCCCATTTTCTCTCACAGGTTTTTCCTCTGTGAGATTTCTTTCTCATTAAATTTTATTTTGGTGCCTGCTTCTCAGAGAATCTAGAGTAATATGACAACCAATTCTTGTATTCTGAAGTTTAACAAAAAACTCCATAAATGTGTAGACCGTTTATTTTTATCACAATAAAGTGCACTGTTGTTACAAAATATTTGAGTACATCAGAAATAATTTTATAAGTAATTTCAAATAATTAGGTGAATAGAGAAGCTATTATAAACTTAAAAAAGTACTCACTATATCTCGGTACCTAGAGATGTAGAGATAAAATATAGAGTTTATCTCCATATCACATCTATTAAAATTATCAATAGGAATAAATGACTTAACACTTTTAAATATTTTTGCAAGGTGATTACATTAGCATGTAATCCATAAGAGTTAAATATCAACTTATTTTATACTGAGAGTGTAAGGATAACCATATTTCAAATTTCAAGTTTGTAATGATATATTCATGTATTTTTCTTTTCCCACTAGAAATCTAGACTAACACTAGACTATAAATTCCCCATTACTCTTGATTTCCTTGAGGATACAGACCATGATTATTTTACTTTGCATTTCAAGTACTAGTAAAGACCAAATTCAGAGTAAGTGCATAATGAAAGTTCTCACACCTTCCTACTCAAATTTTTGTCCAGGGGCCAGGATTATTGGCATCACTGGAAAGTTATTGGAAATTCAGGATCTAAGATTACCTACAGGACTACTGGTTCCAAATTGGCACTTTATCAAGATCTCTAAATGGTTCATGTACACATTAAAGTGTAGGATGAAGTGATACAGAACCCTTGTCTAACCTTTCTATTTCTTCTTTCCTAAGATAATCTCGGCTTTAATCAAATAGTCTCCTCTGCCTCATAGCCATTTATTCTGGGAAAACATTTATTTAGAAGAGAAGCCATATTTGTCTAAACTGGTGATGGCATAATTCTGTTTGAAATAGACTTGTTTGGCCAGGCGTGGTGGCTCACTCCTGTAATTGCAGCAGTTTGGGAGGCTGAGGCGGGCAGATCACGAGGTCAGGAGATCGAGACCATCCTGGCTAACACGGTGAAACCCCATCTCTACTAAAACTACAAAAAATTAGCCGGGCGTGGTTGCGGGCACCCGTAGTCCCAGCTAATCGGGAGGCTGAGGCAGGAGAATGGTGTGAACCTGGGAGGCGGAGCTTGCAGTGAGCCGAGATCGCGCCATTGCACTCCAGCTCTGGGTGACAGAGCGAGACTCCGTCTCAAAAAAAAAAAAAAAAAAAAATTTGATTTGTTTATTCGTAAGTCGGTGAGTTAAAAGGGAAAATCTGCTGGAAGGAGAACTTCTGGCCAAGGTGTTATGATTTCAATAAGAATAAAAACCCTTTTCTTATCTCTGGATGTTGTTGTATATTGGACCTTTAAAAGACTCTCAAGAAGTATCTTAGCTTTTTTCTACTTGTCTGATAATGAAGCCCAAAGAAGAAGGAAGATGGAACCATGAAAAACAAAAGACAAATGGAAACAGAGCCCTGACCTATTGTAACTGTCGCCACATTGGTGGAATTCTTGTTATATGAGATAAAACAAAGAAACAAATTGAAACAAAGCAACAATACAAACTTACATGTTTAAGTAAACTAAAATTAAAACTATTCATTTTTTAAATTTTTTTTTAATGTTGCAGCTGTGGGGATTCTATCCCGTACAAGTTTTGAAATAATAAATGAATGACAGGAAATGAAAATACAAGTTCTGTTGCTGGGTAGGGAAAGAAAATAACCATCATTAGTTTTATAGTCATGGTTGCATATTTTTCTCTGCTCAAGTGTTTGTTTTATATTTATTTTTCTGTATTAAAATTCACCACAGTTCTTTTTCCTACAAATACATATTACTTCTAAATAAAATCAAATATTCTGTCATAAGAAAAAAAATTGAACATATTTATCATTGAAATGTTTGGACAATTCAATGAGAAAACAAAAGCAGTTAAGTTCGTTATTTATCTTAGAACAATGGCTATCCTAAATAATATTTTACTTTTTAACCAGAAATATTTATATCAGTTAAATAGTCTAAGAAGCCTTCTTTACTCATATAGATATGTGCCTCTTGAATTATCTTTATACATGGGTACAATGGTGAGATGAATTTCATGTACTTTTAAGAAGTAATATAGGATAGAATTTGAGACATTATCATCATTGTCGTTATTATTTTTATGTTAGTTGGCCTTTATTGTGTACATTTAACACTAGGCACTATTCTACATGCTTTACAAGGGTTAACATATTTAAACCTTACAACAGCTTTATGAGCCCGGTACACAACAATTATTGTCTCCATTTTTTGGATTAAGATGTCTTAACTTTGACACTGCTGATATTTTGGGCTGGATAATTATTTACTGTGGGAGGTGCTACTGTGTACTGTAGGATGTTTAGCAGCATTACTTGCCTCTGCCTTCTAGATGGGTTGAAAACCACTTTTACAGATTAGGAGAATCAAGCACTGAAAGTATGCAACCCAAATTTCCCATTAGGACTACTGCAGTCATTCCCTCAGCTGCTGTATGTTTTGGAGCCATCACATGAGTTTGTCCTTGGGAATTGTTTACATATGACCTATCACAGAGTTATACATATAATAAGTGGTAGAGTCAGGATCCAATCTCATGCTGGATCAGGTTTCCATGCTCTTAGCCATTATGCCATGTTGCCTGTCTTATACCTATCATTAATGGAAAGAAGACAGCAAGTGGAAATGAAAAGCTATTCGTTTTATTCTTGTCATTTCCTCTGCCTAAAATGCCTTGACTTCCCTACATGTGTTTGATTGATCCCATTCATTAACCTATCCTTGTCTCATCTATATATGCCAGTTGAGATTTCCTGTTATCTGTAGGCTGTTTTACCTACTACCAAGCCAAGCAGAATATCAGGATATCTTACTTCATAAATCAGGGAGGGTTAGAGATAGATGTAGCTGCTCCTTGCCTGAATGTCGATGCCCTGAATTTTGAAGTCTGTGATGTTTCACCCCAGATGAGAAATTTATCCGTTACCCTTTCCTTTAATTTCAAGAAGCTTCCCTTTCTCCTTCCTCTAAACAAAATGCTCATCTTCCCTATCTTTAAAGTTCACATACATAAACGTAAAATAAATGAACAGAAACACTAAAAATCTTTGAGTTTCCTTCTCTTTAAAAAATATCTTCTTTCTCTTCCTCTGTTTATCATCACACTTGGTGAACATGTTGCCAATGATTGTTATACTATGTAGGTCCTGGTCATCCCATTAAAATCTGACTTCTTCCTTATTTTCACTTTTTAGGAACAGTGTTTGTCATTGGAAACCAAAACCTTATTGACTTCTTTCCAGTTCAATTACTTTGCCAACCCTCTAAGAATGTGATAAGGATGGACAAACACTCCATTTTGACACTCTCATCTTCCATGGCCTATGAAATTCCAGTCTCTCCTTTTAATCTGACTTAGCTGAATGCTTTTTAAAATAAGCCTATTTTTCACTATTTTCTCTGTGCATTGAGGATATTAGTGTGGACAGCTTGTGTTCTTATGCCAGGTCTTCATCTTGAGCCATCTCTTCTAAACTGCCATGGCTGAAACAACCATACATATTCATGTGACTTCAGAAATCTGTATTTTTTTAGATTCAGCTCTACTTTTGAGTTCTACAAGAAGCTAACAGTTCTACAATAAGCTTCCCCTAAAAATCAAACACTGAATTAAATGCTCTAAGAATATCAAATAACTTAATTCACACAGCAATTCTATAAGGTAGGTACAGTTATTCTCTCTGTACTTCCAGGGTCAATCAGAGTGACTATCATGTGGCAGTTTTTGAATGATAATGCCTGAATTAAATGATTCTCACCTAAATCATCTTTACAGCAATATCTTCAGAGACCATCCTCCATTAAAATACCACCACAAGGACATTAAGCAGAGTGCTATTCCAGAATAAAAAGCCTGCACTTGTGAACTTCTATGCCTTTGCATATGCTCTTGCCTTGGCTTGGAATGCCACTGTTTGTTAACAATCCAGTTATTTTTTAAGATCCACATTGTTTCTGTGATGTTTTCCCCTAAATTCCATTTTCTTTCATCACCACCCTTTCCATATTTGCTAAAGAGAGTTATTCTTTTCAGTCTGTCCTATCTCCAAATTTCTGTATGTATATGTGTGTATATATATATATTTTACTTTAAGTTCTGGGATACAAGTGCAAAACATGCAGGTTTGTTACATGGGTATACATGTGCCATGGTGGTTTGCTGCACCTATCAACCCTTGATCTAGGTTTTAAGCCCAGCATGCATTAGGTAGTAGTCCTAATGCTCTCTCTCCCCTTGCCCCCGTCCCCCACGACAGGCCCCAGTGTGTGATGTTCCCCTCCCTGTGTCTTTGTGTTCTCTCCCACTTATGAGTGAGAACATTATTGTTCAACTCCTACTTATGAGTGAGAATATTCGGTGTTTGGTTTTTTGTTCCTGTGTTAGTTTGCTGAGAATGATGGCTTCCAGCTTCATGGTATATGTATTTATAAAAGCATGCTTAAGTTCTGTTTTGAATTGTGTCTTCTTTAATCCTTTCTTCAACTCTGCACAGTTTTCATGTAGCATGTTTTTAGCATGAAGTAAATATTCAACTAAATATTATTTCAATTGAATTAAAATCAAATAATTATCTAAAGCAAATACCTACTTTTATGTGTCTTATCGTTCTGTGTGTATATATTCTCTGTGCATTGAGGTACCTCTGTTACCAGTTTGTAATCTGATTTATCAGCGTCCATCAGTTAGACATAGTACTTGTAGAATAAATGTATGAATGAATGACCCACGTCGTTCCGAATGTATAAGGTGTTGATTTTATTATTCAATGATTATTTTATATTAAACATTTAATTATTGAATTAGTTAAAGTGGAGTCTGAGTAGGAAACCTGAACCCAGAGGTACAAGCGTAAAGGTATTAAAGGCTTATTTAAACATTCATCTCACTGTCTATTAATTGAAGGATTTTAAATTACTAGTGAATATCATAAATAGTCATTATCATGTGTAATAGGGCTAGCGTTCAGATACTACAAAATTCAGTCTTTATTTAACAGGATTCAACCTTTACATGGAAAGATTCCTGCTTTTGATTAAGAATGAATTCAAGCATTATTCAGAGACAATTATGTGAAGCCTACATATAACTCATCTGTATGTCCTTTTGGAATGCAAGAGCTTGAAGTAAAATCTTGAAATAAATAATAGGAGCAGAATTCCCAAATGATAGATACCTTAGTATCATAATAAGTGGAGTTCTATTAAGAAGGAATTAGAAAATATGCAAATTTCTTCACATCTATGCATACTTTAAAAAGTCTTAATAAAATTAGATATTTAAATCGGAGTAAGAAAATTTTAATTTCTAGTAAGGGGAAGAAGATATATAACAACATTTTTGTCTATAATATGGTCTATAATGGAATTACAAAGAACATTTATAAATATTTTATAAAATTAGAAAATATACTTACTTAGAAGTTTATAATTATTTGTAGTATACTGCAATAGTATTTGTAGATTTCTTCTTAAAGATATCGTGAAAAAGGGATCACAAGTTTGCCAAAGAGAGACATTGCAAAAGGATATTTACCATGTTTATTTAAACATAGTGTAGGATAGGGTGACCTGGTCTTCTGCTTTTTAAGGACAAATTCTTGTTACAGTTCAACAGTATCAAGTTGATCCAGCTTGAAAAGGCTATCTCATGTTGATTAAAATCAAAGGTGACATATATAAGTTACAATGCCAATTTATTTTCTTACAATAGAAATATAACTGCCATAGCACATTTCCTTTAGGCAAGCTGCATGAGAAAACCACCATCAGAAGATTGCTGGCTGAATACGGAACCAGAACTGGTGTTAGAGAGGCTGGGATATAGCTGAGCAGTAGTTATATCATTTGAATATTTAATGCCTACAGGCTAAAACACCAAATATGTCCATTTTCTCAATAGATTTACTTTTTATTCCATATGAGGGGTTCAGCTATTGGTTCAAAGCAATCTCTTCCTTGCTTAATGATGGATGACTGCTGCCAAAATGCCTCCTTTTTTCTTTGTATACCTTTCTGACAATTTTTTTTCCAGCTGGCACATTTTTAAACTTAGCAGGTAATTTATTGATCCATTTACTGTCAAGTTCCTCTTGCTGGCAAGTGATTCTGTTCTCATATATTTGTGTATCTCTGATCTTACATGTGCTTGTTGAATTTAGAATTTAACTGCCAAAGTGAAATCTTATTCTCATGTCCCACGTCTTGGTGGAGACATTTTTGCCCTCTCCATGCCCTCATGAAGCCAATGAAAGCATAAAATTAGATTTATAGGAACACACACACACACATACACAATACTCTTATTATTATTGTAGGCTGCATTTCTACTGCTATCATTTTGTAGACCAATGATGGTTAATGAGATACTATTTCAAAAATTTCCCCAGTTTCTGTTTCAGATAATTACTTTTATTTGGCAATATGGAAAATCTTTATTTGATGTTGGCATTACATTTGAACTGTTACTTACATATGAAAGTACTCAGTGACATTTACAAGGTGACTGTCTGTGGCAATTAAGTGGTTGATTAAAAATAACATTCTTACATTCAACCAAATATTAAATTATTTGAATAAAATACTATAAATGAATTCAGAAATAAATTGTAATTGGTTTACCTTGTATTTCAACAAATTGTTGAGCAGTTCAGTCATTTTGAAATACATCTCAATGTTGATCTTTATACCCTACATATCTCTAAATAGAAATTCTGAAGGAATATATTCACAGTAGGCAGAGTCTCTTGAGAATTAAAACTCTGTCAGTCAAGCTGCATATAAGGCTGACATTAAATGTATGCATGCGTACCTTTTTCTTGCGTTATATTAATTTGCTTTTTAAAAAACAATTATGTTGTGCTTTATGTTTGGGACTTGTATTTTCAGTCTTTAGTGAAACTAATTCTGAAACACAAAAATAATTTTCCTAAAATAAGCAAAAATAATATTTGAAACTCAATTGAAATAATTTTTGTGGGAGAACTAAGATGCAAATAAGCAATACATCTAACTTGTTACTATTTCTGATCAACAAACTTATTGAGTTTGCATTTAAAGATAAAAATGAGTTTTAATTTTTACTTTATTGGCTTTGTGATATAAACAGGTCACTAACGCTTCACTCTCATAATTTAAGAGGAGAAACAGATATTAAAACTCAAAGGCATATATGTCTTATGACTTTCATTGGGTTTAAATAAGTATGGGGCTAGCATTATTCTATGAGTTGCAGAATATAAGAAGTCTTGAATTTAAGAGTCTATCTTTAGAACTCAACCAAAGATGCATGTGCACATGCATGTGTGTGTGTGTGTGTGTGTGTGTGTGTGTGTATAATATTATTAACTCTATTAAAGCAGTGTGGCCGTACGGAATATGAGAAAGTGTTTCCTGGCAACCATGTTGAAAGAGACAGAACTCTATGAATATTTGGGCCCTTCATAGAAATCAAGAGTGAATTTGGACCATTATGTTACTCATGTGTCTGGTCTCTAGAAGGTTCTTGATTACATCCCCTTTGTTTCCCTATAAATAGCTGTTTCTATTTCTAAAGCTATTTTAAAACATAATTCTATTTTCTTATACATGTAGCTCTACTTATCTTTATTCCTAGTTTTTATCTTGTAAATTAATTCTGCTGCTGTGCATTTGACCTCAAATTTTGCTTGTATTCTCTGATCAAACATTATGATGTGTGTGTCTGTGTTGGTGTTTGTGTGTGCATGTGTGTGTGTGAGAGAGAAAGAAGGTAATATTCTTGCTCTTAAACTTTTATCTGTATTTAATTAACTGTGTTAATATTTCACAGAATATTTGAATTTCTGGTAACTTAAAAGTTAAGTTAAACCTGGTAGGATGAATACTTCATTAATTTATCTTAAAATATTTTCCTTGTTTTCAATTATAATTTTATAAATGCACTTAACTTTTAAATAAGTTTGTTAGAAAACACACTGTGTTCCCTAGAAATGAGAAGTCAATATTTTGGACAAAGTGAGGTTTGTTTGACAGGTGACTAGCTTTTTAAATTGGGAGATCTGATATAAAATCAAAACACAACCTAAAAGTTCAAACTACTACTTGGTTTTCTTCAGAGTATCTCAGTTGAGATAATATCAATAAAGTGCAGTCGGGAATTTGCATTCCTATTACAATTGTAATTATTGCAGGAATTTGTACTAACTACTATGAAAAAAATTAATTAATAGAAAATAATTGCTATGTTCAAAGAAGATTTCTACATCTTAGTATTTCTTATTTATTAAATCTACTGCATGGGGAAAACTCTTCAAACAATTTCCCACAGGACTTTGGAAACTCTTGCCATGGTTTCTACACTTAGGAAGGTCAGATGACTAGAAGTAGTTTTATTAAGCTATTTAGCAAGTTAAAAGATAAACCAGTTATAAATAATTTTTCATTAAGTTTTTTTCTAAGGAAATGTACGGAAAGTTCTAACACTGGTGGGAGTTTACTGTATTTATTTAAGTTCTGTAAATTTGTTAGCAGTGTTTTATATAAGTACAAAACAATGTATTTTAAGAATGTTCAAAATATGTTTTTGATTAATATAGTTAATAAACATTTATAAAGCACCTACTATATAACAGCCATTGTTCTAAGTGCTGGGGATATTCTTGAAAAGTGAGTTAGGTAATAAATAATAATTACAAATATGTCAGTTAATAAAAGTACTCTGAAGAAAAATAGAGCAAGGTGAGATGGTAAAGAGTGAACACTTGGACACAGGAAGGGGAACATCACACACCGGGGCCTGTTGTGGGGTGGGGGGAGGGGGGAGGGATAGCATTAGGAGTTATACCTAATGTAAATGACAAGTTAATGAGTGCAACACACCAACATGGCACATGTATACATATGTAACAAACCTGCATGTTGTGCACATGTACCCTAGAACTTAAAGTATAATAAAAAATAAAAAAAATAAAAAGAGTGAAAAGTTGTTGGAGAGAGACAGAAGGAGCTATGCTAGATGGAATTGTGAGGGAAGTCCTGATAATTGAGGCAGGAGATAAAGGAAGTAAGCAAGACATCCTCTACTCTCATGGAGAGTAATTGTACTTGATGGGTCTCAGACAGAGGCAATTATAAGAGGGAGACTCTGGGGCGGTTGACCTACACTTGAGATGTTTTTTACAAGAATTTACCTTTAATTCTGGCCGTGATCACTTTATTCTGCTTAACTTTGTTGAGGATCTCAGTCTGCAAATGCAATTGAAAAAAAAATTACTCAGAGAATCTTGAAGAAAAATGGACTTTATTTAGCTCTAAAATTTAAAGAAATATAGTGTCCAAACTCATTGTACCCTCACTTAAGGAACATATGTGTAACATATCTAGTTACACATATGCCAGTTCTAAGTTACTTATTTGAAGAGAATGTCAGCTTGAATGTGAAGGGGTTTTGCTATATGAGGAAAGGAAATAAGGATTACAAAACATCCTAGGTCTTGTCTTAGAGTAAACACTCCATAATTGTAAATTGTTATTACCTTTCTTATTACTATTATTAAGAAATTGGGGTTTCACATGAATAATAGAGATGAGTGGGAAAATAAAACTGTCAATATAGTGAACAAATAATGAATTGACCAATTTTTAATCACAGTCAAACTGGATTTCTAAATCTTAAAAATCTACCAAAGAAGACGTGTTATTTCTTACCTTTGGTGGAATTTTCCAATGCATGATAACCACTGCCTTATGTAAATTCAATAGATCCATATCTTCCATGAGAAAACCAAAGCAAGCTCTCTCTGACATATTTTTTATTAAAACTATAGATACTTAATTTTCAACCTATCTGTTTTCTTTGCTCCTGCATTAACTTGCTGGATGACCATGATTTTCCTGCTCCCTAAACCTCAGGGGTATTGTAGGTTTCACCATTGGAGGCCAGCACTCTGTTTTTAATTCAAAGGGGGCAAGGGATGACAAATATTTCATCCCTGCACCCTCCCCTACTCTCCACCTATTGAAGTTACCTAGTTGCTTATCTAATGCAAAACCCTAGCCACTGTGTTCAGGCCTTAGTAACTGCCACTGTATATCTACATGTGAAGGGACTGAAATTTCAGACAAGGAAGCTATCCAAGGAGAGGCTGCTATAGCACTCTCAGTGCAGACCCTGATCCTCAGAGGTGGACTGAGAAGCCTTGAAACTAGAGATGGCTACCAAGGAGACAGGTCACAGGACCCGGTCCCCAACCCTTTTCCTGTAACTGCCTAGAAGATTGGCACTATGAGCTATCAGACAGAGACAAAAACTAAAAATCATAGCTTTGGGTGGCTAGAAGCCCGAAACAAACAAACAAACAAAGAAAGTTTAAAAAATATTTCAAAAAACAAGATACAAAGGGAAGAAGTAAAAAATACATACAAATATCTTATTAAATTAAAGGTCCAAAATCTTACCCAACTAGAAATTCAAAGTTTATTTGTAAAAATTACATAACAAAAGAGTTAAAAGGGCACTGATTGGATTTTGTATGTCTACAACACAGGTTCTAATACAACTTTAACATTTGCTAAAAGACACCAATTGAACTCACAGAGCTTCATAGACCTAATACTGGGTCTCAAATATAGTTATACCAACGTATTCTTCTAAATTTACACAAAATGTCCTCCCTAATTTTAGCAAAATAACTAAATATAAAATAGTGGAAAAATAGGTATGCTTCATTTTAACTATCCTCTTGTCTAATTTTCCCATTGTTATAGTACTCATTACCCCAAACTATTTCATGGTGGGCATAGATACACTGATGCAATGAGCAAAAAATGAAAAATACACTTTTGGCACTTGCAAATTGGCTGGATGAAATGGAATCCCATAAATCCCCAGTTAAAATAGTTAAAATGGTCCAATGTAAGTTAAAACAGGGCCCTGAAGGATTAAAACTTACTACGTAAGACCTAACTAGAGGTAATTGTGCCCACTGCTTCTTTGTTTAATAGCCCAATTATACCTTTTATTAAACCTGGAAAAAATAAATGCACCCCAAGGTGAATTATTGTAGAGGCTTTAGTAACTCATTCTTGTGCCTCTTAATAGGTCTTTGAACAACCTATGATAGCTATAAGTTACCCATAGGCTTCTGATAGCAAAATATTGCCCTTCTTGGCTCCAGCCTGTATATCATTAGAAAGAAAATTACTGGCTGCTTTCTGTATTCTTCTGGAAATAGAGCCTTTCATATATCCCGAGTCTGTGACTCTTCATATCCAGCTGCCCATTATGCCTTCAGCAATGAAAGTAACACACCACAAGCTCTACACAGCTACTGAGGCCCCCTCGATACAAGGTGGAGCCAAACCTGGGCCCCTCTGGTATATTCCACCTGTAGGAGGGGATGACCTCTCTGTCCTCAGTCTGTTGCCAGGTGCATTAGACAGGGTGCTGGGAGAGGTCATCCCCAATAAAGGCCCCTTGGTTACCTGTACCTCGGACTCCCTTGGAATTAACTGAATGAAAAGCCATAGGAATTGTAGGCTGTACAGATGTTATTTCCAGCATCATTGGTGAAAGAGGTGAGTGGCATATTGCTGCTTTCTATCTCTTAACTAGGATGTCTCTGATAAAGGACTGGACGCAAGTGACCAAACTTCAGATAGTCATTGTAGGACTGGATGTACTGATCACCAAATACCTCATCTGCACATTTTTAGAAACTCTTGGGCCATTGCCTAAGAGTTGTCCCCTTTATGGAAATCTCTTGTCTTACAGAAACCCAAAATATAAATCAAGATCACACATATCACTACATATACTAAAGCCACAACACAAGGTCTCACCAGGACACTCTTTATTCCCTTTAGAGTTGGAGACATTACCGATCATGACCAAGACACATATTTCCCTTCTCAAAGTACACAGTGCTGGGCTTTTGAAAGACTTTCACTAAAACTTTCATTTCCCTGATAGGTCCCAGGCAGCTGGTTTAGTTGACAGTCCAGTTGATCTCCTCAAATGATGTCTATTTAAATTATGAAATGGTAAGTGGAGATATAAATGGGTCTTTGTTTTGCCCCAGGTCTTAGTCTTTCTTAAGACCCCTTAGCCAACAAATACCTCACACCAACTCAAAACAAACAAACAACAATAACAACAAACCTCAAAAAACCTTTTCATGTCTTTTTAATATATTTAAAATAGAATATGTGTAACTTCCATGTAAAGACTCTTTACATACTAGG
This sequence comes from Homo sapiens, assembly GCF_000001405.40. NCBI lineage: Eukaryota > Metazoa > Chordata > Mammalia > Primates > Hominidae > Homo > Homo sapiens. Next base: position 84,863,658 of record NC_000007.14, on the reverse strand, counting down.
CCCTTTAATAATGCCTCCCCATATCTTATGAGTTTTTAATCCTACCCTCTTCCCATAAGTGCTGGAGGCCAAATAAAGGGCACATATTCTTCCAGGCCTCATTAATCACAAATTATCTCATGTGCTAGGAACCTGCTCATTTGTTAGGGGAATCATTTGAGGCTGCATTTCTACCACCCAAATAATCTTCAATATTCAGGTTAAGAAGAGGATAATTAATCTGGACTGTCCCTCTGATGGTCTAATTTAATTTAGTAAATTGAAATTAGTATTGCAGTGATATAGTTTGGCTATTTGTTCCTGCTCAAATCTGTTGTTGAACTGTAATCTTTAATGCTAAAGGTGGGGCCTGGTGGGAGGTGTTTGGATCATGGTCCCTCATGGCTTGCTGCTGTCTTCATGGTAGTAAGTTCTTGAGAGATCTGGTCATTTAAAAGTGTGTGGCACCTCCCTTCCCACACCCTCTCTTGTTTGTTCCTGTTTTTGCTGTGTGATATGCCTGCTCCCCATTCACCTTCTGCCGTGAGTGTAAGCCTCCTGAGCCTCCCTAGAAACCAAACATATGCAAGCACCTTGCTTCCTGTAAAGCCTGCATGCAGAACTTGTGAGGCAATTAAATCTCTCTCTCTCTTTTCTTTCTTTATTTTTTTTATTTTTTGAGATGGAGTCTTGCTCTGCTGGAGCAAGGCTGGAGTGCAATGGTGCGATCTTGGCTCACTGATATCTCCACCTCCAAGGTTCAAGCAATTCTCCTGCCTCAGCCTCCTGAGTAGCCGGGATTACAGGCAAGTGCCATCATGCCCAGATAATTTTTGTATTTTTGGTAGAGGTGGGGTTTCACCATGTTGGCCAGGCTGGTCTCGAACTTCTGACCTCGGGTGATCTGCCTGCCTAGGCCTCCCGAACTGTGGGATTACAGGCATGAGCCACTGTGCCCGACCTTCTCTCTGTGTTTTTTTTTTTTTTAATAAATTACCCAGTTTCAGGTATTTATTTATAGCAATGTGAGAATGGCCTGGGCTGGGCACGCACGGTGGCTCATGCGTATAATCCCAACACTTTGGGAGGCCGAGGCAGGTGGATCACTTGAGGACAGGAGTTTGAGACCAGCCTAACCAACATGGAGAAACCCCGTCTCTACTAAAAATGCAAAAATTAGCCAGGCGTGGTGGCGCACACCTGTAATCCCAGCTACTCAGAAGGCTGAGACAGGAGAATCACTTGAACCTGGAAGGTGGAGGTTTTAGTGAGCTGACATTGCTCCATTGCACTCCAGCCTGGGCAATAGAGCGAGACTCCATCTCAAAAAAATAATAAAGAATGGCCTAACACACACACAGGATCTGTCTGCAGCAAAACTCTTCTCATCACCTCTCTGGGAAAACCCCACAGACAATATGGGCTGCCAAAAATGGAGATTAAAAAATTAACTCAGTAAATCACATTTGAGGATAATAATAGAATCAACACATTATGCCATAATTATAACACCAGAAAACCCCTCCTTGGTAATAATATATGCTGGAGAAAAATCACCATCAAATAGCAAAAGCCTGTCAAGTACAATTGCACATCAACCTGTTGAGTATTGTTCTTGTTAGTATTGGTCTGAGTGCTTTCATTAGCTTGCAATCTGGAAGCTCAAACCTTGCAAGTAAGTCATTGTTTCAACCAAACAGGACAAATTCTGAGTTTAAAAGCTCAGCTGTGGCTAACACAAGCCCTTTATCATAAACACGTTACTAACTTGCCCTCATCAACCACATTGACAGCTGAAGAAAGGAGGAGACCATAGTAATCGGCTAAACTGGAGGGTCTGCCTACAGGATAATGCTGGAGCTCCAATGGTAGCTTTGGATGTTTTAATTGGCAAGCAATATAACACTCTATTAATCACACAGACCCAAATCAGGCCATATAAGTTAAGACCTATTTGCAGCAAAACCCCTTTCATCACCCATCTGGGAAAACCTTAAACTGTTGGGAGATTTTAGATCTGGCCGCGTTTAATTGAGATGATTCTCTTGCCAGACAGGTTCTAGTATTTTGATGCATTATGGGAGTTTCATCTTTCCAGGTGGAGGTCTAGCTCTCAAGCCCAATGTTGTACTCATGTTCACCTGAGTGGTATACACTTGGGAAATATACTGCAGTCCCACATGTCAGACAATATTGTCCAAGCCCAGAAGCTCACTTCTAGAGATGAAATCACCTCAATGACATTGTTCCAACCCAAGACCTGTGTCAGAGGCAACTTTACTCTGAGCACTGAGACTAATGCCCCAGCAATGCCCATGGGCAGTCTCTCCGAAAGCACTGACAAGTTGGACAGGAAACGTGTTGTTTTTATTCCGCTGATATTAGGGAGCTCTCTGTTTGCTCAATCAATGACCTGGTGTACACCCTTATACTTCCATTGCTAGAGAGAAATCTGGTAGGTGCTCCACTATCTGCACTGTTCTAAAAATGAATGGAGATTATTACTTTCCCCAAGAGGCAACTATCGCATATTGGTAACGCACTTCTAGGAAGAGGACATTTCACTTCCAGGGGCCATCTCTTACATCCCATCCAGCTTTCCACAACACTTCCCATGCTTTGTCTCTGACTATGAGCAAAGAACTACACCCTCCCCTTAGCTATAAAACATATACCATTAATCTTTACATATACCTTACTAAACCATCAGTTAATACCCTCCAATAATGTAACTGCTAGACCTGCCACTTTGACCCCAAGAATATGCCAGGATATTATTGTCAAAAAAACAAAACAAAAAAAAGGTGGCCAGGTGCGGTGGCTCACGCCTGTAATCCCAGCACTTTGGGAGGCCGAGGCGGGTGGATCATGAGGTTAGGAGATCGAGACCATCCTGGCTAACACGGTGAAACCCCATCTCTACTAAAAATACAAAAAATTAGCCAGATGTGGTGGCGGGTGCCTGTAGTCCCAGCTACTTGGGAGGCTGCAGCAGGAGAATGGCGTGAACCTGGGAGGCGGAGCTTGCAGTGAGCCGAGATTGCACCACTGTACTCCAGCCTGGGTGATGAGTGAGACTCCGTCTCAAAAAAATAAGTAAATAAATAAATAAATAAATAAAAGTAACTCACACTTTTAGTGCACTTTTAATCTCCACCAATATATTGTTAGACACCTCCAAATTTTCAGACTTGTTTCCTTGGCTAAGGCCATATAAATGGGAAACTTGGTTACTGGCTGACCTACAAGAATGCTTTATTCCTCTACTTGCTTTCCACCTTTTTACTCTCAAAATAAACATGTTTTCTATGCTGTTTAAGACAGGTTAAGCCTGATCCTCTAAAAGTCTCCTCTACTATAAGGGCCGCTCAAATACCCCAAATAATCAAGCTCAAAACTGAGGTCGAAACAACAATCGATAGTATTGAGTTTCGATTTTTTTAAAATGCTGTTTTGACCCAGTTTTTAGGTCCTGACTAGGGACCAATCAGTTTTCCTTCTTGAGCAGCTAATTAAATATATGCTCAGCCATTTTTCTTTTCTGACTCTCCTATTTTGGGCCACTACACACCTACCTGCCCTAATCATCCTGTGGCCAGGTATGAGACATCTAGAGACAGTTTTATGCCTTGGTGTGCAGAATGTTTTTCAAATCAGCCAATCTCCACTCACAAAACCTAGCCAATTATATTTGCTTTACATAAGCCACTCCTACAGCTCCAGCTTGCTGCTTCTGTATCTCTGGGAACAACCCTATTCTTGGGTATGGCCCTGCCTGGCAGCCTTCTCTCTTAAGAGCTGTAGGTAACAAAGAGTTATGCCTTTCAAAATAATCTTTAAATGTTATAACAATGTAGCCAGTAGAACATTCTCTGGTCCCTATTAAGAATACAGAATTAATCTTTGGCTGTGAGTGGGCGCACTAGGTCACACCTAGCCAGCTAGAGTCTCTCTGGATAGTTTCCTACTCATCCTCACATTTCGTTCATCATTCCTACAGACAGAAACCAACTGTGATCACTTGAGTTTGAATCACATGAAAGTGCCAATATTCAATATACTTTGACCAAAAAAAATGGCAATTTCATTAACCTAATTGTATAGGTATTCTAATACAGGACACAGGGTATGAAACATCTGCAAGTAGTTGACTGTTTGTCTCTCCTCTCCCCTACTCCTGCATGTTTCCCTATCATTTTTGTCAAATAGGAGTTAGTGAACTTGTTAAGTATAGTGATATCTCTTCCCTAATAAGCTATCTTACTATGGTTCAAAGGCAACACCAGTGTGCTGCCCTCTCTCTGCAGTACACAAGCAAAGAATGGTATACATCTACTAGGTGGTCCGGGCAATAAGGCCTCTGACCATATTTGCCTTCTCCTTCAAGCTATGGCTGTGAAGAATAATTTAAGAAATAATCTCCTGTATTCACTTGTGCCCATTACTGGTTTTCATCAAGATACTTGGGTGTAATTCCTGGTAAAACAACCACAGTTGATGTTAAACAAGTCTCTGAGAATTAAATAAAAAAAAAAAAGAAACTTAAAAAAACCCAGCAAGATTTAGAAAGCAAGCCATGTGGCAGAGATCATATATTTTTGTTGAATCTTCGAAGCCAAAAACTTAGAAAGGTCATTATCAGTAGCAGCATCAGGCTAAGAGCATCTTGAGTTTTGGAACACATAGGAGTAGCAAGTTTAATCTCCTCTTGAGAAATTTGGGTTGGTAATGTTTGGAGAGGGAAGGGGGACAGTGTAGAAGTCCCTAATTTAGCCTTAAACCATAACAAATGTACTAGCAGTTCTTCTGTTCTTCTGTTATAAGAAAGTATTGCATTGCAGATTATTGAATGTTGATTCTGATATCAATTATCATAAATACCTTCATTCCAAATTTTCTCTGCATTCCTATTTTTTAATTCTTTTGGGAAGTTTGGATGATTTGCAGTGCTTGATTCAGGCAGTTTGGGAAGCTTTATGAAATCTTATCATCATAGCTGCAAAACCTTGAATCTCCAAGAAAATCTTTAAAGAATAAGAAAACACGAATGGAATAATGGAATTAATTGACCTCACAGACAAATAAACATCTTCTAGAGACCTCAGAAACTAAACCCTAAGAGTGACTGAGAGCAGAAGAAGGAAGAGCAAGAGAAGTAAGTTGTTTAATGTGAACAAAAATTATATATATATATATACATACACACCCACACTGCTCACTTTGTATTCTACAGAGAATTGCCATATAATCAAATTCAATTATTTTTCAAAAAAACAATTTCAATGGGCACTTATCCAGAAAGCAATTTAATTCCTGGGAGTTCTGGTCCCATTCTCCTTCGCTGGCCAAAATGCCCAGGGGAAGAGGTCTTCACTCACACCTTTCTTAAGTAATCACTTAGGTAACCCCATTCTCACCAAGGATCAACTATTCTTACCAATGTTCCTGTCTGACATCCAGGCAAATTACAAGGGATGACCTTGAGGAGGCCTTTATAACAGCTATGAGATTTTATCACAAGAGGGTAGCTCTGAAGAAATAGTCCATATGTGATCAATTAAATGAGAGGTATATTAAAGTTATAGGTGATTTCAAGTTTTCAAATATGAGCATCCTATGTGACAGGAAAATAAAGGAGGATTACACCTGAATTTTTTTTCACCATTTCTTCTAATGAATAATGGGAGTGAAAGTCAGATTGTAAGAGACTTAAGATGTATACAGCATAGCTGTGAGAAATTTGGCACTAACTAGAAAGAAATAGAAGAGTATTAAGTGAATTTACTTATTTGTTGTGTGTGTGTGTGGGGGTGTGTGTGTATGGAAACACATGTAAATTTTGTTATTCATAATAACATAAGGGAGAAATATTTGTCTACACAATGGCATATGAAGAAAAGAGTATTGTAACCGCCCACTGGGTTCATTTTGCCTGCCTCCCAGGTAGAGTCAATTTACCAAGACAGGAATTACAATACAGAAGAGTTTAATATATGTAGAGCCAGCTGAATGGGAGACTGGGGTTTTATTATTACCCATCAGCCTCCCCCCAAATTCAAAGACTATTGTTTGTTAAGGATAGTTTGGCAGACAGGGAGCTAGTAAATGGGTACTGCTGATTGGTTGGGGATACAATCGTAGGGTATGGAAAACAGTCCTACTGTGTGAGTCCTCTCCTGGGTGGGGACCACAGAGGACTCGCTGGTCCAGATGGAGCCATGTGGTCATCAGAAATGAAAACAAAACAAAAACAACAACAACAACAACAGAAAAAACTGAAAGAACATCTCAAAAGGCCAATCTTAGGTTCTACAATAGTTATGCTATTTACAGAAGTAACGAGGAAAGTTGCAAAACTTGTGGCTTCTGGAATAATGGCTGGTAATCATTTCACTACACCTATATCTTAGAAGAATTTGGCCCCATCTCACCCTCTTTTCATTAGTTTTACAAAGGTGGTTTAGTTTTAGAAAGGGCTATTATCATACTATAAACTATAAATTAAATTTATCCCAAAGTTAGCTTGGCTTGTGCCTAGAAATGACCAAGGGTAGTTTGGAGGTTAAAGGCAAGATTGGCCAGGCCAGGTGCAGTGTCTCACACCTGTAATCCCAGCACTTTGGGAAGCTGAGATGGGCGGATCACTGGAGATCAGGAGTTTGAGACCAGCCTGGCAAACATGGCAAAACCTAGTCTCTACTAAAAATACAAAAATTATCTGGGCATGGTGGCAGGCGCCTGTAATCCAAGCTACTCTGGAGGCTGAGGCAGGAGACTCGCTTGAACCCAGGAGGTGTAGGATGCAGTGAGCCGAGGTCGTGCCACTGTACTCCAGCCTGGGTGACAGAGTGAGACTCCATCACACACACACACACACACACACACACACACACACACACACACACACAAAAGCAAGATGGAGCTGTTTAGGTGAGATTTATTTTACTGTCATAAAGGCAATTTCAGTATGAAAAGAGATAGAAAATATCACATTGTGAAAAGATTAGATTAAACTAAATCCAAGGAATCACCTGTGGATATGGTCTCCAGGTGGAAAATTTGGCATCAAATGGCTATTTCAGAGAGATTTCAAATAAAAAGGAGGAAGAGTTCTTAAAAGATCAGTATTGGTTATTTGTCAGTTAAAAGATTGTTCTTGTGATTTATTCTTTTCCCAGGTATTGTTTTCACAGGGTTCCCTGCATATAAGATTATTGTTCCCTAAGTTTCCAATCTCTCCCTGTGTATTTTGTGGAGTTAAAGTGCTAAAACTTCACAGGATTTGAAACTGAATGTGGGTGCGTTACTAGGACTTGAGAACTCTAAACATTCTATTATTATACTGTGGCCCTGTTTTCACTTTTACAATCGTATTACATTCTTTGAAAAAACAAACAAACAAACAAAAAAACCACCACGGAGTTACATTGGGTTTTAACAAATAAACAATGTAGTCCCAATTATATTATTCCCTTACTTAAAGCCACTCAGTAATTATTCATGGCCTTAAAGGGATGTAAAATCATGAGCTTAGAAGAGCAACTTTCTTCCCCTCCAGTGAAGGCATGATATGCTTTCCCTCTTGAACTTCATGTTTCAGCCCTACAGTTACAAGTGGTATTCCCTGAATCCAGAGCCCTTTGTGCATATACCCTTCACATTGTCTTTTCTTTCCCTTCCACCTCCACCTCTGTATCTCAGTGAATCTCCAGTTCCCCAGATCTCCACACAGCACACACACATTTGACAGGATAATAACTGCTCATCATCAAGTGGAGGTCTGTTATTTATTTCTTCCAGGAAGCTCCACCTGAACTGCACTCCCATAACATTCTTAGATTCTTGCTTTTTGGGCACTGATTGTAGTCTATTTTAATGATATATTTACTATATGTAACATTGAACTCATTTGTAGTTTTGTTATACTTATTTGGTTCAGGGTATAATCAACTTCAGTGCTTCAAGAGAACAAAAGTCCTTGAGGTCTGATTTGGTTAGGCTTTGTGTTCCTATCCAAATCTCATTGTGAATTATAACCTCCATAATCCCCACTTCTCAAGGGAGAAACCAAGTGGAGGTAATTGGATCATGGAGGCAGTTTTCCCTATGTTGTTATTGTGATAGTGAATGACTTCTCACAAGATCTGATGGTCTTATAAGTGTTTGCTAGGTCCTCCTGTGTTCATCTCCTTCCTACTGCATTGCTTCCTCTTTGTCTTCCACCATGACTGTAAGTTTCATGAGGCCTTCCCAGCCATGAGGAACTGTGATTCAATTAAACCTCTTTCCTTTATAAATTACCCAGTCTTGGGTATGTCTTTATAGCAGTGCGAGAATGGACTAACATAGTACATTTGTATGGCAGAGAGTGGGGTACTGCCATAAAGATACCCCAAAATGTGGAAGCGACTTTGGAACTGGGTAATAAGCAGAGGTTGGAACAGTTTGGAGGGCTCAGAAGACAGGAAGATGTGAGAAAGTTTGGAAATTACTAGAGACTTGGAGGGATCAGAAGACAGCAAGATATGGGAAAGCTTGGAACTTCCTAGAGACTTCTCGAATGGCTTTGACCAAAATGCTGATAGTGGTGTGGACAATGAAGTCCAGGCTGAGGTGGTCTCAGAGGGAGATGAGAAATTGTTGGGAACTGAAGTAAAGGTGAATCTTGCTGTATTTTGGCAGGATTTTGGACTTGCATGAGACTGTAGCAATTTTGTTTTGGCTAATTTTTCCCATTTGGAACAGGAACATTTTACACAATGTCTGTACTCCCATTGTATTTTGGAAGTAACTAACTTGCTTTTGATTCTACAGGCTCCTAGGTAGAAGGGGCTTGCCTTGTCTCAGGTGAGACTTTGGACTTGGACTTTTGTGTTAATGCTGAAATGAATTAAGACTTTGGGGGACATTTGGGAAAGCATGATTTGTTTTGAAATGTGAAAGGGACATGAGATTTGGGAGGGGCTAGGGGCAGAATGATAGGGTTAGGCTTTGTGTCTCCACCCAAGTCTCATCTTGAATTATAATCCCCATAATCCCCACATGTCAAGGGAGAGACCAAGTGGAGGTAATTGAATCATGGGGGCAGTTTCCCCCATGTTGTTCTTGTGATAGTGAGTGAGTTCTCACAAGACCTGATTGTTTTATAAGTGTTCATTAGTTCCTCCTGTGTTCATTTTCCTTCCTACCACCTTGTAAAGAAGGTGCCTTAATTCCCCTTTGCCTTCTGCTATGATTGCAAGTGTCCTGAGGCCTTCCTATTTTTTTAATTATAATTTGACTCCAATTTGCCCTCACTAATTTACTCACATATATATATAATGTATGTATTCCCCACAAATATCTATCTATCTGTCTGTCTATCTGTCTGTCTGTCTGTCTGTCTGTCTGTCTATCTATCTATCTATCTATCTATCTATCTATCTACAAAATGCTTCAGGATCAATAAAACCTAGATCACCACAATGAAGAAATAATATACTTCTGTGAAAAATATTATTCTTAAATATGCTAAAATTTTGAAATCAGGGTAGTTAATAAGCAGTTAAATATTATGAATCTTTGAGAAATTAGTGTCTAGTATGATATAGTTGCTTGTTTTTTAAAAAATATTAATTAGGACGAATTAAGAACTTTATGTAAAATGATTCAACAATCTGCCAACAGAAAGATCTACAATAAATATATATAAATAGTAAGCATATATTGAGCCATATTAATAGAGACTGATGCTTACAGGAACATACTTGTTTTAAAAAAGTACTAATGTGTCTAGTTTATATTTCTTTCTTTAAATTTTTTCTGTACTGTCTTAAAAACTCTTTGTGTTTCTATGTCTCAATGAAAGAGAAATTACTGTGTCCCCTACTTTGAAATCACACCTAAGGTGACACATTTCCTATAGGAATGGCAGTCCTTTTTCAGGGCCAACTCTGCATTCTCTTAGGGCATTTTTCTGCTTACTTTCCACCCCTCAACTACAATATAAGGTCATCTTGCAGAAAGGCAAATATTGGTAATATCTTTCTACCAGCTTTCTACATACTAATTGAAAACAGTGGTCTTTTTTATCAAAGAAAGAAAACTATACAATTTAATAATTTAAATAAAAACTCTTATGCTTAGCTATAATAGGGACCTATGCAGAATATTATTTGTAATCATGACAAAATGATGCTTTCATGTTAGATTGAAACAACGTCTGTTTTCTGTAACCATTTTGGAAGCTGAGTTAATAAAGTACCTAAATGTGTTTTTAATTACATTTATTATATTTGGCAAAGATTAATGTTTTGTGTTTTTTTTTACCATTCTGGAGATTGATACATAAAATTTCCAAATAATACAAATATTATTTATAATTATGTTATAATCTTCAAAAATAACCCACATACATACACTCAAAACCCATCATAAATTTTGGAAATGTGAAGATGCTCTGTACTGCTTTTCTAAATATCTAAAGTTTTTCTATTTAATATATATTTAAAACAATTTGAACTACCTCTGAAGTCAATAACTTGCACTGAAGATTATAACACAAATTTATTAATTCAAAGAGGAAAAATATTCTACCCTATTGATAAGTAACAAGGTTCATTATTAAACCTGTATGTAAATAGAAATTGTTTTTGCTAAATTTAGAGCAGGTTTAGAAAAATGCAATCAATAACCTATTGTTTGAATGAAATCACTTAATTTTATTCAAGAATAAGCAAATTTATGTTAGAGATAAATTAGTTTAGCCTAACTAGAAAGGAATAAGATTTCTTGGTATTTTCTCCTGATTGCTGTCATAGAGTTGAATTCTTCTTCCAATCTATTTCTGTAGTGTTTACTTTTATACCAATTGGCTCTAATTTGGATAAGTTCCAATCAATTGACATACATTTTTTAATTTCAAAATTTTAAATTTCTTATTATGAAAAATTTCAAAGGCAGGATAAAATATATAAAACAGTATAATGAACATGAATACCTCATCATACAGCTTATGACACAAATATCAACTCTTCCCCAATGTCATTTCAGATATATCTCTGCCCACTCTTCCTTCATTATATAAAAGCAAATTCCAGACATTACATCTTTTTTTCTGTATTGTAATAAGCATTTGAAAAGATACTCTCATTTCCCCCAGATGAAATCAGAATAGCATTATCACACCCCAAACAAGCATATCAATAATTACTTCAATATTACCAAATAGCCATCAAGTTGTCATAAATGTTTCATTACTTTCTATAGTATTTATGTCAGAATACAATTAATGTGTCTCCTTTGTACTTGATGATATGTCTCTAAATTCTTTTTAACCTATAGATTCCTATTCCGTCTTTCTTTTTTATTTCCTTTTTTTTAAATAGCGGGTGATTTTTTCTGTTGCACTTTTATACTCTGAATTTGGAGTATTGCATCTCTTTAGTGTTATTTAATATTTTCATCTCTATGTATCTCCTGTAAATTAATAGTCAGATTTTATTTCCAAGTGTACTTTGGAAAAGTGTACTTTGAAAGTACACACTTTCTGTGTACTGTCATCAAGAGACATATAATGTCTCCTTCTTTCTTTTTCTGTGATGTTAGAAGCCACTGAAAATCATGGGCTTCATCAATCAATTCATTAGGAATGGTGATAATATAATATTATCTTTATTAGGTAACACTAATATGATAGCATAGACCAATTTGCTACTCAGAGTTACAGGTCACATAGGAAAGGCAAAAAACATGCTTAATTCTTTTCAATTACTTATTATTTTAAAAAATCATGAATTGGTTCCACGACATCCTTCAAGTTTGACCATTATGTGTGCCATTATTTTTAAGCATTATTATGAATTAATGGATTATCATATTGTTTAGTGAAGAATTTACTGAAAGAGAAGTCTGGTTTTTGCCTTCAGCTGCTGGGAGCTGATCTCCAAGCCCCTAAAATTTCCTGCCTGAGAGGAGTGTCTTTTTTGCTGGGGTCTTTGACCACCAGGTAGTCTAACAATATAAGATGATGGGATATTTGAAACACACCAATGTTCTGGAGACTAACAATATTAACATTAACCTCCAAGAGGGGTTGCAGATTAAAAAGGCAAGGCACATGGGCAGTATGTGGTTCAACTCCAAGAAAAACTGAGGCGAGCTTCCGTATTTGACAATACTCTACTTATTGTCACACACTGATATCCTGGGAGGTTGAGACCTTAAGGATGGCAGAAACTTCTTGTTTGTAACACTCCCAGACTTCATCTATGCTTCTCTCCATTTGTCTGGTTTTGATTTATATCCTTCGACTGAAACTGTAATCATAAGGATAACAATTTTGTAAGTTCTGTCAGTCTTTCCAACATGTGAGGGTGGTAATGAGAACCCCCAGATTTGTAGCTGGCTGGTCAGAAGTAAGTGTGAAACTGCTGACCTCTGAAATTTCAGCTGGTTTCTGGAGTGAAGGCAGTCCTGTGGAGGACTGTTCCCTCTGACTTTGCTATTTGGCAAACTCATTGCATGTATATTTGGTATGATTCAACCGTTTGTACTTATTCTTATAGATCCACAGTTTGCTTCATCTTTGGGTAGTAGGAGCTTTTTAAAGTTGATTCCTCAATTTCGATAACTAGTATAATTTGAAAGCTTTCTTGATTCTGATTTAATAAGACATTAGAGACTTATCCAGTACATTCACTCTTATAGACTTGGAGTGAGCAATTTGTTTAGCATACCTTATTGTGGAAAATGAGCATAATGATTGTAATAAACAGGATTCTAAGATGTTCTCCAATATTCATTTATGGTGGAAAATGGGCATAATGACTGTGATAAACAGGATTCTAAGATGTTCTCCAAGATTCACTCCCACCTTCCACCCCATGTACCCTCTCTGCATAAACCCCAGGACTGTGAAGACAATGTTTTACTTGGATGATTAGGTTTTATTATCTGGTGCAGTTGACCTTAAGATAGTGAAATTGTCCAGGTGTGTCTAACCTAATCATGCAAGCCCTTTACACGCAAAGAGTTTTCTCCATTTGGTTGCAGAAGTGGACAAAAGAGAAATTCAAAGCATAAGAAGAATTTGACATAAGGGAGATTCGACGTGAGAGAGATTCTCACACCCGTGCAAGGGTCTGAGAGCATTCCCTGGGGACTTACACCAGTCTATAGCCAATTAAGAGAGCAGAGGCCTGGGTCCTATGAATGCGAGGAACTGAATTTTACTAACAACCTATGGAGCTTAGCAGCAGATGTTTACCTTACTGAGACTCCAGATGAGAAGCAGTCAGGGACCCCTTCATTTTAGCTTTATGAAAAGAGCAGGTAATCTAAATACAATATGCCAGACTTTGGGCCCATGGAAATTTGGGGATAGTAAATTTGTGATAGTTTAAGTGGTGTCATTTGTAGCAATTTGTTACACAGCAAAAAACAAACGAACAAACAAAAAAGGAAAGATAATGATTACCTGGGCACAGGTAAGCTTACTGTTTTACTATAAGATTCATTCTTGTTTCTTAGCCTTTTCAGTGCACAGAGCTAGGGAAAGCATTTTTTTTTCTTAAGTTACATTTGAGACTATTCTGATATGTCCATGTTAATTTCAGAGTTTTACTTAACTGCACTTTTCTACTTCTATGTCTTTTTTTCTCTCATAGTAAAATTTCCAGTTCTCATGACATATTAGTTTAATTTTTTTCTTTTGCATTTATCCCTCAGTGCAAACTCAATAGCCTCAAAGTACCAATAACATTACCAAACATATAACTACAGGAAAAGTTTTTGTTTTTCTTTGGTAGCTTTCTTTTTTTCTATTAGAGGATAAAAGAAAGTAGTCCACTGGGGATGTAAAGTCAAATTGTTGCATTTTAAACTAACCTGAAATATTCAATCAAATTAATACACAAATTGATTTGTTGTATTTTGCTTTTGTAAAAATTGCCTTTTATATATTGAAATTTATTTTATAATTAAGCAAAATATTTGCATGTTTCTAAAGTTGTATGGTACAAAACAAGATATATTCAGAGAAACCTAAGTGTTGTTCCAAGCACATTCCACCTGATTTTCTCTTACTCCTTTTATAAGTAAATATTTGGAAATATATGGTTTTTCCCCTTTGAAATATAAGAAAAATGTCCACACAAATATGTATAGTGTGTGTATTTACATGTGTGTGCATACATGTGTAGAAACACAAATCATATACATTCTGTTGTATATTTAAATCAGTTCTTCCCTGTACTAGTCTGTTCTCACACTGGCTTAAAGAACTACTTGAGACTGAGTAATTTATGAAGAAAAGAGGTTTAATTGATTCACAGTTCTACAGGCTGTGCAGGAAGCATGGCTGGGAGGCCTCAGGAAACTTACAATCATGGTGAAAGGGTAAAGGGGAAGGAAGCACATCTTCCTATGGTAGCCAGGCAGAGAGAGAAAGCAAAGAGGGAAGTGCTATACACTTTTAAACAACCAGATCTTGTGAGAACTCACTCACTATCATGAGAACAGCAAGGGGGAAATCCACCCCCATGATCCAATCACCTCCCACCAGGTCCCTCCCCCAATATTGGGAACTGCAATTCAACATGAGATTTGGTTGGGGACACAGAGCCAAACCATATCATTCCCCTCTCTCTTCCTTGATAAACACTAGAAAAGTATATATAATTTCCTCTACTTTGTTATTTTCTCTTAGCAATGTATTCTGGAGATCCTTTCATGGCAATATACAGAGATTTTTTTCATTCCATTTATAGTTTTACATACTTTATTGTGTGCATGTTCCATAGTTTATATTAGCAACTCTTGGTTTCTTTTTTTCTTTTTTCATCTACATTTACACTAGTGTGGATATGAATAGGCTTGTCATGAATACTCCTATATTTTTTTCCTGAGCAAAATATGAAAATAGGAAGTGGAACTTCTGAGTCAAATCTCAGATACATATGCAATTTTTCTTGTTGTTGCCAACTTCTCTCTATATGGTTTTATTTTGGCATGCTCTTACTGATATTTATAGAATATAATAAATATGAAAGTACAATGTAGTTTCTTAGCTACTTTGTATCTTCATATGATTCTTTCTTCTGGGAATTAAGAAAACTCATGTCTGAAACCATAGACTCAAAAAGAATAGGGCAATGAATATTGAATTATTGTGTAAAAGTTGGTCTAAATAAATTGTTCAAATTGCATGTATAATACTAAATTACATGCATACATGTGGCAGAGAGTGCATATCTGGAAAGGATGCAACTGCATGAATTATTACATCATAAATACTTGCTGATAGTTCCAAGAATTCCAGATACCATTTTCTTGAGTGCTTGCTGAATATTCCATTTGCATTTTGCAATCAATTTTGTATTTTTCTTTTTGTATTGGGGGCATTCTCTGGTGACTATTTCCTAAGATGACTTTCAAAGAGGCTTAACAAAGGAGCTATGGAAACTCATCTGATTCCAGGTATGATGATGGAAGAGGGACACCAGGAAACCCTCCCCAAAGAATGGATCAAATCAGTCATTTGCCCATGGCTTGTGGACAAGGAAGGTAAATGTCTACTCTAAGAAGCAGACAACTGGACATACACATTCATAGCAGAAGGAAACCATCAAGAAGTGGAGGGCTGACCATGCTGGAGTAGTAGATGAAAATATGTGTCTAAACGGGGACTTATCTGTGTCCTCACAGATGAATGAGGTCATGCTGGGAATTCCCTCTGCAGGGAACCGGCCTGACTGACATGCAGTTCCATAAATACATGTTTCTCTCGTTTTTTTTCTGTAGTTTATTTAAGTTTTAATATAGTTATAATAAGTAAATGTTTTTAGATTGCAAAATGGACTCCTCATCTTTATATTAAATTCACACATGAAAAACTGAATCTGAAGAAAATAAATAAGATGCTGTGGGAAAATAAATAAATAAATAAAACACCTCACCTCTCAAAGTGAGCCGTAATCCCAGCACATTGGGAGGCCAAGGCAGGTAGATCACCTGCCTGAAGTCAGGTGATTGAGAACAGCCTGACCAACATGGTGAAACCCTGTCCCTACTAAAAATACAAAAAAAAAAAAAATTAGCTGGGCACGGTGGTGGACACCTGTAATCCCAACGTACTCATGAGGCTGAGGCAGGAGAATCGCTTGAACCCGGAAGGTGGAGGTTGCAGTGAGCCAAGATTGCGCCATTGCACTGCAGCCTGGGTGACGAGTGAAACTCCATCTCAAAAAACAGGCTTTAACATGTGCAATGGAAATAGAATGGAAGCTTTGCAATGTGGAACATTTTGAGCCATTTCTTAAACATAATGAAGTCCTCTATGTAACAAAACCCCAGTATTAAGAAAAGTAGTTCTGTGTTTTTGTTTGTTTACTGGTTAAGATTTCCCTTAAATTACAAATGGGTAACTTACTTTTTCCTAGAGTACTTCTAGACCTATGAATGATTTTAAGAATGTTTCAGTTTCTAGTGTGAAATTGATTATGATCAACAGAGCAAAGGGTACGAGAACTTTTTATAAAAGACAGAAAGAGAAAAAGAGAAGTTAGAAAAAAACAACAAAACTTTGGGATGGGGAGAGTTTCCTTTTCAGTTTGAGCAGCTTCTCATTTTCACTCTTCCTTTCAGCCAAACTTTGTTTTAGTCTATACTCAGTATTTTTTCTTCATTATTTATCCACACCTCAGCTCACCCTTATCTGACTATTCTGGTTTGTTGTTGTTGTTGTTTAATTATTATTATTTTTTTCTGAAATGCCTCCCAAACTCTGAAACTTCTACAGTTTACCAATAATATCCTATTAACACTCTTCAATTATCTTGCTAGCTATCACAGATGTATTTTGCACTGTTTACATCTTCTTCCTTCTTAATACTTTCCACTCCATAATCAAGGGAACAATCCTCTGCTGGTCTCTCGTTCAGTCCTCTGACTTTAAACAGTGCTGCAATCCAGGTCTCTTTCTTCCATATGCTCCGTTATGTATGCATGGTTTCTCTGTGATTTGTCCACTACTCTGTCTCATATATATGTATGATTCTACAAAAACATGATTGTAGAGTTTCTGAATTATATGCCTTATTGTTTCTGGGTACCTCTAATCAGATATCCCATAAGCCACTGACACTCAAAATATCCATCTTTCTACACTATCTTTCCTATTCCATAGTCTTTATCTCAGTTTGTCGTATTCAATAACAATCTCAAAACTTGAGTCCTTATTTCAGAATTTTATTCTCTCACATTCACCTCTAATCAGTCATAGAATCCTGATATTTTTCCAATAAGCTTAATTGTCTACAAGTCTTTATGCTAAAACCGTCTCATCATTTTATGCCTATCCTTTTCAATAACCACTTAATTGTGACTCATGTATCAAACGTTTGTTGTATGGAATAATTTTTCATAGCCCCATGCCTTTACAAATGTTTCCTCCAGTGTAAATATTCATCTACCAGTCCTCTTTATTCTTCTAGCTTTTATATACTTTTCATTATTCAGCTTATTCATTCCCCAAGAACAATCTCCCCCATCATTCTCTGTACATATTTATCATAACAATGACTACAAAAAACATTAAACTCCTGTGGTCATCTCTTTCCACAGCTATATTGTAATTGCTTCAGTAATGGGGTGACATTCACAAATCCTAGTAAAGTCCATGATGTACGTAATGTTCAGTAAACATGGGTTGGAGTATATTTAGAAGAGAGTGATCAAAGTTCTGCATTGACTATGAAATTGGAACATGTAGGTTGGATGAGAGAAATCACACAAAGAGAATTAAGTAAATGGCATTAAAACAATGAGAAAAGGTTATAAGTAATAACAGAATGACAATTTATATTGTTAAATTATACTCTTTCTCCTAGAGCATTATTCCATCACTGATTAATTGCCACCATATTTCTGTGGGGTAAATCATTTGACATGATTTATCCATAAAATGGTCAATTTTGTTTATTCATTAAGCATGTTTTGCCCTATTTACATTATCCTATATATGTGTTATATTACCTATTAATACACACTTACTCTATTGGAGACATCTAAGCAATGTTTATGGGTTTTATGCTCCCTAATGTATGTTTCTGAAAATGGTATTTAAAAATGCATATGTTTCTACTTATTATTATTCAATTCAAATTCAAATTTTAGTTAAGATAGGGAAACAGTATATAAGTTCTAAGTATTGTGGTGAATTTAACACTTAAAGTTCAAGTTTGACTTATTGCTATAGAAATATGATTTCCCACTTCAAAGAAGTAGCTTTCATAGTATTTTTGGAACACCAGAGACTTTCTATAAGTCTAGAGTATACTGATTGAAACCATACAGATAAGTTTATTTTTTATTTTGATTTAATTTTTTGAAAAATTTATACTTTTATAAACCCTAAAAAGCTCATTCTACTAAAAGGTCCATAGGAAAAAATATGACTACATTTTTTATATGTGTAAAACTACATATTTTGAAGGTTTCTTCTTTTTTTGCAACCTTCTTTCACCATTGACTACCTTTAATATTCTAATATTCTGAAACACTTTATCTTAAAAGTAGAATATAAATACACATTAGTTTGGAACACAAGAAACTAAAATAGAACTGTATTTAATTAGGACTGGGTAAAATAAAGTCAACAGAAAATGTTGCCTGAGCTAAGTGTTTATTTTTAGTTTGTGGGCTCATTGATAGTGTTCAATAGCCACAGAGGGTTTAAGGGATCATATTTACTACATTTCTTTTTCTTCCTACATATTGCAGATTGGCACAGTTTAGAGACAAATTGTTTGCAAGTTTTCTTGAAAATATTTCTGTATGCAAAGCATTCGAAAATAACTTGAGCATTTTGTGGCAATCAGCACACTGCCAAGTTTTCCATCTTTCAGCTCTCCATTTCTTAGGCCCTAATTATTTCCAATGCAAACACTTCTGATAATGTAAAGAATTAAAATTTACATGACAAATACACAATAGAAACAGATGACTTCTTCAAAGCAAAACATATTTTAAACTTAAAGTTCTCAAAATTAGAAATTTAAATACAAAATTATATATGTAAGTCTTGCCTAAAAAGTTTACATGGTTTTACTTAGGGGGATTGTAAGAAGGAAAATCTAACAAGGCTCAGCTTAAATTTGGAAATTAGCTTCAGAAATGATATGAGTGACAAACAAGTATTTCTGGAGAGTTTTATAGGTGGCAAATACATACCTTCATTAAACGTGTATTGAATATATAATTTCTTTTTAAAAATTACTTATATTATTTTGGATAATTTTCTGGTATTTTCCCTACAGTTCTCTTCCTACATGCTTTTATGAGTTTCAATAAATTTAAGACTCATTTTTATTAAATTTAGATATTGGCATTTGTATTATAGCATTTTTCATACTGCATTATAGCTTGCTATTAAACATCAGTTTCTTCCCTAAGATAATTTCATTTTGAATAGAAATATTAGATAATTACAATTTAAATAGCTTATATCATTACAACTTAAGTAGCTTATATTGTATAGAATTATGCTTTTTGAAAGATAAATGAGCTTATAAACAAATCCAGCACCAACTATTTATAATACCTGTTTTTAGGTTTATAAATATAAATCAAATTGAAAACAAATAATAAAATAGAAATATTAAGTGAAATATTAATCAGTTTTCAGCATTATTTTTCAGCAGTGCCTAAAATAAAGTACTCAATATTTGATGCTTACTATACAATTTTTAAACTAAAAAATATAGTGCAAAAAAGATGAATAGCCTTGCGACTGAAGTCATGAACTGTACTATTTCTGTGAGTTTGAGTAGAGTTTTGTTCCTGTATATAAAATAAACAAGGGAGAAGCAGAAACAACATGGATAATCAATTTAAATAAAAATTCTCTATAAATATTCCAAATGTATTGGAGAACTCATGTTCTCAAAGCTAAAACACTCGTGTTTAAAACTAAAATCACCAATTACATATTAATAGAGACCTGTGTGTATTACAATATGTTGAGCTACTCTGTAATCGAACCTAGCATAAATAGTCTCTATTAACTAAGGAGAGGATTTAAAAAAAGTCTAGGCCTTGGCCTGTTTTACACTCTACAGCTTCAATTTTAGAAAAAAAAAAAAAAAATCACTGAGTTGGCCAGGTGTGGTGGTTCATGCCTGTAATCCCAGCACTTTGGGAGGCCAAGGTGGGTAGATCACTTGAGGTCAGGAGTTCAAGAACAGACTGGCCAACATGGTGAAACCCTGTCTCTACAAAAAATACAAAAATTAGCTGGGTATGGTGGCGGGCGCCTGTGATCCCAGCTACTTGGGAGGCTGAGACAGGAGAATCGCTTGAATCTGGGATGCAGAGGTTGCAGTAAGCCGAGATCTTGCCTCTGCCCTCCAGTCTAGATGACAGAGCAGGACTCCGTCTCAAAAAAAGGAAGGAAAGAAGGAAGGAAGGAAGGAAAAGAAAATAATAATAATAATAAAGTTGTGTTTTTGCTTTTTTATGATGTTATTTCCAGTCTGACTGGGCACACTTTTTCAAAGGTTTAAATTAGAAACCCAGAGGACAGTAAGCCAGCTTTACCCCCTTCATAATAAATTATAATTTAGATCAATAAATTGATAGCTACAGAATAATTGCTGGAGTTAGATAAGTTCATAGATAATAATACAGACGTATAATGAGCTTTTCCATTATGGGTAATAAACACATTTATAAAAGTAATAATCACTTTTCACTTTGATTTTAATTATCTAATCTCTTTTGCCTTTTGGAAAATTTTTAACTTAAAATGTTTGCATTCTAAGTGCAATTCTGTATAATTTTAGAAAGGTATCAATAAAACACATACGCACTGCAAAATAAGCATCTCTAAATGTTACATTTTGTGACAAAAATAGTTTTATTTAAAACTTGAATCCAATGCAAGCAAAGTAAGAAATATATAAATATTGCCACTTATTGCTAGCACATCCTATTTAATATCTTGGCTTTAAACATAGTTTTGTCATAATGCAGGTGGGAAGCAATTCAAGATGTCAATATCCATCAATTTAAGATTAGAATATAAAAATTCAAAAAGATAAATTATCAAGTAAATAATCTTTTTTATCTTTACCATATAAAACAGAACAAATAGTGGCACTGAAAGAGACTAATGGAGATATTACATTTAGATAGCAATTCTATTATATATAAATATACAAATAAAGGTGCATGACATCCATGGAGTAATTTACATCACTTTATATAAATTGTTATAAATATTAATTATAAAAGGAAAATGCATAAAAGTGTCAAAATATTTCTTTATCTAGATGTAGAGCTTCATGTTTTAAATATATATGTGTCTAGCCACCTATTATGAAGTGTTGTTCATCTGAGAGATAATAATTTAGATGTTATCTACTAAAAATATTCCATTTGTTGGAAGATTCAGAATATATGGAATAAATAATCTATTTTTTTAACACTCAAGTCACCTTCTATCTCTGTGATACATATAAATTCTTAAAATATTTGGTATTCAAAGGAAAAAATACAGACTTAGATATGTGGAAATATATACTTTAGCACATTTTCCCATCTGGGAGAGTTATAATGTTTACAGAGCAGCAAACTAAGCCAACAGTTATGTATCACTCGAAGAATCTCCCTGACAGTGAACATTCATTTTGGCATTGAATAAACCACCAAATATACATGTGAACGTCAATGTCTTAATACCTCAAACCATGACAAATTTTTACTTCTTTAGCTTTTCTTTAATTTCGAAACTTCATTTTTTTGTGCCCTGAGCAATATCAGAATCTGTACTCTTTCAATGAATCTAGTTCTCATCTTAACATTTTCAAAGTGTAGTGGTTTTTTTATTTTTGTTTTTGATTTTTGTTTTTTAATGGCTTTCAAAAACCAGCATTCACAGGGAGAGATGGGAAAAAAGGCAGAGGCAATAAATATATTCTTACAGTTAGAATAAGTAAGTATATCTGCATACAAATATATACAGATTTTGTATGTATTATGATACATGATAATGCAATATTTTAATATTGCTACATACGTAAATACTGAGTCATTAGTAAACTACATGTTACTTACTAAATGTGCACTTCATCACTGATGCTGTTCAAGAAGTCAAAAGCTTGGCTAAGAATAGAAAGTAATCAATTTCTGCCATGGCATTACTTTCCAAAATGGGCTATTTTAATAAATTTACCAAATGACAAGCATATGGGACCTATCAAGACCTACCTGAAGCTAGGATCTTAAAACATATTCAAGTTGGGCTTTCTTTGTTGAGTGATCTGCTTATCAGTCCAATATATGAAATGTGACTGATCATCTCAGGAAACACCTGTCATCCCCAGGTCTTATAGGGTTTGTGCACACATGAACTTGAAGTGTTGGAAAGGTACAGCAGAAATGTCTGTTTGGGTTCCCTTGAGTGAAGACCAAAGTGAGTCTAACTGTGAAGATTGACAAAAATGTATGCATCAACATGTTTTAAGGAAAAAGCCATGGTTTTAGATCATCTTACAAACTATGCAGATGTACCTACAAAGAAAGTAAAGCTTTAATTTGTATACCACATTGGTTGAGTGCAAATTCTGGTGTCACAGCTTCGACTATATATTTAATTGTTTTGTACTTCACTTTGGTTTTCTTATCTTTAAACTAACGATGACAATAATAGCTATTTCAAAAAATTTTAGAGAAGATTAAATGTGTTAATAAATCTCAAGTAGTTAGAACCGTGTTTGGTACATAGGACATACTTAATCTGTGTTTCTTATGAAAATGAAGGTGAAAATGATGATGATGATGATGATGATGATGGCAACTGCAATGAGAATGTCTTAGTCTGAGTTCCACAAAAGCAGACTGTAATACAGGGGTTTGATTGCAGGTAGATTATTAAGAGCAAGATTCACCTGGGATGCATTACAGTGGAAAACAAGAATGTAAAACCTGCAAGAGAAATAAGATAAGGAGAGTGTTACTGATTGGGTTATTATTGAGGGAAATGGACCTCAGCCTTGCTGGCGACTCTGCAAAAACCCATGTGGAATGTGTCTTAGAATCACCCCACTAAGGTGAGGAAGGGGAAGGAAAAAGAAGGCTGGGCGTTTATCCACTAACAACATCACAACCCCATTGGCTTAAGGTTGCTTGTGGAGGTGTTATCATGGTTTCCTGGTGCTGAAGAATATCCTCAGGAAGAGACAAGAGGCAAAGGTACTTAAGACAGAAGCTGTCAGCTTAAGGGAAACCTATAAACCTTACTAAAGCAGCAATAGATGAACTAGATGCGTTGAGGAATTAAGAGCAGAACATTAACATGCCCTGCTATATGGCCCTTCCAAGATAATGTGTAACAATGAAATCAATACAGTGTGGACTAAGGCAAATTCACAGATCATTCAGATCAGATCAGTAAAACAGTAGTCTTAGGTTTAGTAAACATGAGTGTGCATTTGCATAATTCTAAAATTTGCATGTATGCATATAGCCTAGGTAATAATTTCATTATACCTCACTTGCTTATTCATAAAATCATTTTTCTTTCTGGAGGCTGTCTTCCCACTTTCTCTAATTCTTGTCAGCATAGTATTACTACGTATTAATTGTTCAAATATCTTTATTTTCTTTATTGTCTTGTGACTGCCTGTTATAAGAGAATATTGCACTACAGAAAGTATCCAATAATAAGGAGACCTAGTGTTTTTCCCAGAGCAGAATGAAAGACTTCCTGAGAGCACTAAGCAGAAATCTGACCATAATCTCTTTTCTTGGTTAGGTGTGAGATTTTCTGATTTATGCATTCATATGGTTTTTTGGAAAGATAATATCTCACATATGAAACAGAATTTGACATTCCAGTTTGAATATTACTATAAAGAGATTGTCTTCTCAAAGGATTGATGTCTTTTATAAATAGAGCAAATTAACTACTGCATTATAATACAGAGTAACTCAAAACTGAAGTGATTAGACTCTAAACTAATCATGTTCCCTACTTTAAGGTCAAGGAATTTGAGGGGGTCTTTGGATTTATGGCAAGAGGTGCCTAAATTTAGACACGTACCAAGCATTCTTCACAGTCTGAAAGAAAAAAAAATTTGCATAGATATGTAACACTATGTTGTGTGTTTTATAATGCAAAAATTTATATAAAAAATTTTAGTGAATTTTTAGTGAAATTTTATCAAGTATTTATTTACCAAGATAACCTATACACACGTATCATTAAATTTTTGCTAAGAGCCCCGGATTTAGTGTCAGAAGAATTGGGTTCAAGTCCTCTTTTAATATTAGATAAATATAATTAGGTTATTATACTTAGCCTTTCTGAGTTTATTTCCTTATTTCTAAATAATTTCAGTGCTTAATTGTGTGTAAATATGTATTTTATTTATGTAAACAGCATGTGTATATTGCTTATAAACACATAAATTTTATAACATATATGTTGTATACCTTCTGTGATACAATACATTTCACATTGCAAATTGCTAAGACTACTGTTTGTTTTGTTTTGTTTGTTTGTTTTTGAGACAGAGTCTTGCTCTGTTACCTAGAGTGGAGTGCAGTGGCACCGTGTCGGCTCACTGCAGCCTTGACCTTCTCAGTCAGGCTTAGGCGATCCTCCCACCTCAGCCTTCTGCCTAGCTGACACTGTAGTAGTGTACCACCACACCTGGTGAATTTTTCGTATTTTGTATAGACACAGAGATTTGCCATGTTGGCCAGGCTGTTCTGGAACTTCTGGGCTCAAGACATCTACCTGCCTCGACCTCCCCAAATGCTGGGATTACAGGCATGGGCCACTGCACTCGGCTGCTAAGACTATTGTATGTAAAGAAAAGAAAGAGTTATACATGCAGAGTTAGTATACAAGTTGGGAGAGAGCTGAAGGTGCATTTGTGAAGGAGTAACTGAGGCTTTAAACCATTGCTCTCATTTCTTAAACTCTGATAGGAACATAGGTGAGTGCTTTATTATTGTTATTTAAACATTAAGCATGAGCCATTTATATGGATGTATATGTAAAAAAAAATTAAAAAAAAAAGAGCTTGTAAACCGCTACTATAGAATCAGCATAGCAGAATTCTGTAGGGAAGCTTCTCACACTCTGGGGAAAAGTTCTCTGACTTTGTAGAGTTATGTGGTCTTCTTATTCTTTTCTCTTGAATTTTTCAGTTTCAAATTTGCTGATCAGATAGTTAAAAATCAAAGTCCACTTGTTCGATGAATGCTAAACTACTAGTACTGTAGCTTGATTAAATCCTTTATGTTATAATTTCTGATTACTGCAGAATATTTTGCACATGTATCTTTGGGAAAGATTATAAGTATTTTTCTCTTCATGCTCCGATAAAATCATTTTCACGACTACCATAGAAATTTAAAAAAACAAAAGAAAGCACAGTAAGTCTAATTTTAAATTTATATTTAGTACATATTAAATCATCTATAGTGACTTTTTTATTGATTTGTTATATACTACAGAATTTCTTATACCACGATTCTATCAAAATAAAGTACTCTTATTACTGTATAGTTAATTTATTACCAACTTTATGTTTTTAGTAACCGACTTCATCAGAATGTTTCACACATATAGGCTGTATCTAATCCAACTCTGGAAGGAAAATAAGCTTCTGACTAAAACTCCTAGAACTTAAAATGGGGCTCATTAACAATATCCAAATTTATCATTAACACTCACTTTTCAAACAAGGGTCATTGAATTTTATGATTTATTCCAAGTCTTTGAAATAAAATGCTTTGCTTTTGAAGAAGTTACTCTGGAAGCTATTTTATTCACATATGTGACAAAAGATTAAAAAGATAAGTTAACTGACCCATTATCATGTGAGCCTTTTGAAATTGGAAAGCATGAAAGCATGATAAAACTAAACTTGAGTGTTCCTGATTATGACTAAGAAAAGTGCAGTCATGTAAGTTCTACTGCACCAAGAATAAATCTTCCTCTGGATGATGACTTGAAGGAATCCAGTTTTCCTTAACCTCTAAAGAGTCCTATAATATGTTAGTAAACTTATATTCTATGGTGACACACTGCATTGCCGTAGATTAACCCGGCAAGCTTTAGTCTTGAAGGATTTATTACACTGTGGTCTACTGATCTAAAAGCCAGCAAGAGGACAGATGTGCTGGTGGTCAGGCCTTTAGAAATATTCCACATGATCATGAACTGGGCAGATTGGATTTTCTTTTTTCAGAAGACAACTCTAGCCCTGAAAAGACACTTGAGTAATGAAATAACATTATCTTAGACTTTAATCTGCGTATATAAAAACAACATATTAATGGGGAGATGTTGGTCAAAGAGTACAAAATTTCAGCTAGACAGGAGGAATACATTTTTGAGATCTGTTGCACATCAGGGTGACCACAGTTAATGATAATGTATTATATATTTCAGAATTGCCAAGAGTCACTTTTAAATGTCTCACCACAAAAATGGGTAATGAGGGGATGGATACGTTGATTAGCTTGATTTAAACATTTGATACATTGTGTACATTTATCAGAACATCGCATTGTGTCTCAAAAACATATGCATTATGACTTGTCAATTAAAAATAATATTAATAGAAACCCTGCCATCTTATATGGCTTCTCTCCACTCTAGATGGTTCTACTTAAGTTCCCTCATGAGCAGAAGCTGTGCTGGGCACTGTATGCTGTGCTGGTCTGTCAGTGCTCTTTAAACCTGTGTTACCTTTCCCTTCATTCTCTCTCTTTGCTTCTCTACTCTTGTCTTTCTATCCACTTACATCTGGATGCTCGAGTCATCTTGTTGGCCAAGAAAAGTAAAACTGAGGCTGGGCGCAGTGGCTTACGCCTGTAATCCCAGCACTTTGGGAGGCTGAGGTGGGTGGATCACTTGAGGTCAGGAGTTTGAGACCAGCCTGGCCAACCTGATGAAACCCTGTCTCTACTAAAAATACAAAAATTAGTTGGGCGTGGTGGCGGGCACCTGTAATCCCAGCTGCTTGAGAGGCTGAGGCAGAAGAATTGCTTGAACCCGGGATGGGGAGGCTGCAGTGACCCGAGATCATGCCATGCACTCTAGCCTGGGCGACAGAGTGGGACTCTGTTTCAAAGAAAAAGAAAACTGAAAATAGCAAATATAAAACTAACAAAAAAAGTGTCTTGCTTAGCATATATTTTATTTTGGGAGCTCACCAATTGTTATTACTACTTGTCAGGCTTCAACAATTTAATATTTTCTTTTTTTGTATGAAGTTAGCAGGTATAGAAATGTGATAGCTAAATCCCAGGTTACCAACAGAAAGTTAACTGTAGCTCGAAACTCAATATAATTAGTTTTTATAATGGCCCAAATACAGCTACTTCAAATCCTACTCATAATAGCATATCCTTTCCCTTATTGACTCTAAAATCTTATAACTGAAAATCTCATTTCTTTATCATGTCTCCCTTTCCTTCATGTACTACTTTATTACTCCTTATCCACTCCTCCTCTTTGCGCCATCCTTGACTTTTGGGTTCTTTCACATTTTTTCCTTTTTTTAAGACAGGGTCTCACTCTGTCATGCAGGCTAGTATGCAGTGGCATAATCACAGCACGCTGCAGCCTCAATCTCCCAAGCTGGAGCAATACTCGCACCTCAGCTTCCCAAGTAGCTGGGACCACAGGCATGCACCACTACGCCTGACTAATTTTTATATTTGTTTTTTATTTTTTGTAGAGACAGAGTCCCACTCTATTTCCCAGGCTGGTCTCAAACTCCTAGGCCCAAAAGCAATCCTCCCACCTAGGCCTCTTAAAGGACTGGGATTATAGGCATGAGCCACTGCACCCAGCTTTCCTGCACAATTTAATTCCTCCTGACTCTCCCATCCAACTAGAACGTAGCACATTTATTCCTTCTCTTTTGTTGCTGATTTCAGTTTCTGCATTCCTTTGCTTTTCTTCAGCATCCCTGCAAAATCCCAATCATAGATCAATACAAAATAGTCTAATCTGCTATTTTATTATTAATTTGTTGAGAAAATTACACAACCATTAAGATTGGTGCCCTTAAATATTTTTGTGTGTAACTTCACTCAGACCATGATTGCCACTTAGCAAGCATACTGTGTGCCATTGTAAAGACTTTGGCTTTTGGGTAAAATTGGGAACTGCTGAATGGTTTGAGCATATGAGTAGCATAATCCAACTTCCTTTTGAAAGAATTATTGGAGATGCTCTTTTGAAAATAGGCTATGAAGAGGACAGGACAGAAGCATAGACTGCATTAGGAAGTTGATACAGTCATCCATGGAAAAAGGGGTCACAGTGGAGACAATGAGAAATATATAGTCTATATATATATATGTTGAATGTAGAGCTAATAACATTTGCTTATTTACTGAACTTGGAGAAGATAGGAATCAAGGAGGACTTCAAAATTTTCTACCCAAGCACCTGGAAAAATGGACCAACGATGAAGTAGGAAAAACTGTGGGTTAGTGAAAAAGACCCTGAGTGCAGTTCCTGGTTGCATCTGAAACAACTATTAGGATTGTTAAGAAGGTTGTTGGATATAAGACTAGTGTTAAAAAGCAATGTTTAGGCTAGAGATAAATCTTGGGGAGCCACTACTGTAGACAGAGTACTTTTTTAAAATACGAAACTGAGTGTGATGATTAAGGAACTAAGTTAATATGAGAAGAGGACTATATACTGAGCCTAGGACACTCCAATATTAAAAAGTCATGAAAGAAA
Source organism: Homo sapiens (assembly GCF_000001405.40). Classification (NCBI taxonomy): domain Eukaryota; kingdom Metazoa; phylum Chordata; class Mammalia; order Primates; family Hominidae; genus Homo; species Homo sapiens. The sequence goes on along the minus strand of NC_000007.14, from coordinate 84,834,923 downwards.
AGGAAGATTCATTCAAGTGGTTTAAGAAGAAATAGCTAGGGAAGTGGAAAGAAGATCAAGGGAGTTTGGTAGAAGCCAAATGGAAAATAAGTGTATGATTGATGAGAGAATAATAAACTATGTCGAATTGGGCTGCTTTGTGAAATAATGTATATTACTCTTCTATATAGTGTTATGTAACAAATTACCACAAATAGCCATGAGATAATTTATCACCTCAGAGTTTCTGTAGGTAAAGTCCACTATGTTTTAGCTGGGTTCTCTCTCAAGGTATCAGCTGGCTGAACTCTCATCTAGAGGCTCAGCTAAGGAGAGATTTTCCAGGTACCTCAGATTGTTGGCAAAGTCAAGCCAATAAAAATAGATTTGTTATTTTGATTTTTTAAGCAAATATTTATTGAGTAAGTAACATGTCAGTTACTCTATGGTGTTTTTACTCTAGGAAGCTTTTCGTTCATAACTTTTTAACATTGGAGTGTCCTAGGCTCAGTATATAGTCCTCTTCTTATATTAACTTATTTTCTTAATAATCACACTCTATGGTGCTATGAAGAACGACCTAATTAATTATGCTAAAATATTTTCTTCAGAGGATACATAATATTGTAATTAGACAAAATCTATGAAGAAACTAATATGGAGGGGTATGGGGAAAATGTCCAAGAAGGATATTTTTATTTTAATTTGGGGCATGGTGAATATATTTGAAGCGGAATTTAACTTTTGATTTGGATCTTAGACAATACTGGAATTTAACTATCTGTATAAAAGCAAAGAGGTAGGTTTTATTCAAAGAGCATTATCTCAATTTGGATGGAATACAGAAATAATCGTAGCTATGGATGGAGATCAGAAGTAAAATTCAGATTTCATGGAGCAGTGGTCTTACATAATTTTGGGGCCTCTTTAAAAGAAGAATGCAATATTGAAAGAAGAAAATGTCTTTAGCCACTTCTTAACTGACATTGAACTTGAGTGGAAGTGAGATGGATGAGAGTCAGTGTGGAAAGAGACAGTGCCTGAACCAATGGTCATTAAAATATCTGAATTTTGTGCATCTTATAAGTAATATATGATCATGTGAACACAAAACAAGAGCTCCTCCTTAGGACCACAGAAGGGGACCTGCGACCACGGTCTGATGGGACCTGCAACCAAGATTCATTCACTTCATGGTAAACACACTTCTGCTGGAAATCAAGGATAGGTGATCACAGAGGGTTGAAAGTATAGCTAAGCATATTGGTCTTCAGTAGTCAAAAAAGCACTACTGAAAAAATGAAAAGTGTAAAGAATTACCTAAATGATTTGAGCCATGAGTCAGTTTTATCGAGAACATTCATATCATTGAAAGGGGAGAAAAAAATCGTTGAGTTGTTGAGTTTTTGTTTTGTGAAACTTGTACATAAAATTTATTTTGTTCTCCGTGTTACATTACCCAAGTGTAGTCAAGAGAATAAAATGTAGCCATTTATTCATGTGGATTTTACTTAAAAATTATCAATTCCATATTTTTATGAAGAATAATTTTTCTACAATTTATTAAAAAAACAAAACATTTACATATGGCTCTCAGATTTGTCTTTGAATGGACATGTTAAATTTTGTAGATATACCATTTTTCTGACAAAAGAAGGAAGGGTAAATTTACAGTTTTTGTTTATTGTTTTTATTCTCTACTTTACATTATCTACTTCCTTGACAGTCATTACAACCTGAAATTGGATGTATTATTTTTCTGGTTGATGCAGAACTTTAATTGATGTAACATGCTTTTTTTAACCTGTTATCTGTAACCATGCTATTCAAAGTGTGCTCTTTGGATTTCATAAAATTTGAGAAAAATTGGCCAATAAGATCTTTAGAAAAGACTTTTCAGGAAGTTTATGCAAACAGTTGAAAAATCTTTCTCAAATATAAACCAATATTTTATGAATACAAACCCAGTCAATATCTATTTATTCTTCATTGGTGGCATTATTATGGTGACCTATTACCTATACTAATAAAACAGGCAGCTAAAAATGTTATTCCCATGCATTCTAAGACCTCCTAATTCCTAGAAATTGTATCCATGAAGAACAAGGGGAAAGAAAGTCCATTCATGTGTATGAAAAATGGAGAACAATCTAAAATAACTCTTTTGAGGCTTTCATAAGAATTCGACAAGTCATAAAATAATCCTTTGAAATTTAAGAAATTGTACTCATATATTTTATTGGTTTATTATCTGATGATTTATATGCGTACTACTGCCAAAAATGAGCTGAGGATCACTCTTCATTTTATTGTATGGAATTTTTTATTCCTATATATAAATTACCAGCAGCATTTTTGCTGAAAATCATAACCTAATTTTTTAAAAATTCCTCCAAGTTGGTTATGTCCATGTGAGTTACATTTGAGTTATATTTGACTGCAATTTCACGGGGTTGTGTGAGGCTCTACTTCATGTGCCTTCATTTCAGAATTCAAGCTGAGAGATCTACTTCTATTTGGGACATATCATTTTAGTAACAAAGGGGAAAACAACAACAAAAACAAGAGATCTAGCAGAAACATCAACTGATGAATCTCAAAACCTGATCAAAACCAGATATACATCAGTTACACTCACATTTTATTGACCAAAGCAATTCTCATGCACAGCCTTTCAATGGTGCTCACAAAAAAATATTTTTTTTCTATGGAAAGGCATTGCAAGCACCTGGCAATGAGTGGAAATGGATAAACCTCTCACAGGGAAGATAAGAGCAAATAATTACAAATGATAATATAAGATACGATGCTGCTCAAACTCGGCCACAAATATTCACTCCCTATCTTCTGTATGCATATAAAATATATTTATCACTTCCTAAGAAAAATATCCCCCAAATTTTATCCCATCATGAAACCAGTTCAAAGACTGATTTCAAAGCCTGTTCTGTTATGCACATCACCGTCTTGCTCCTCCTCTAGGGAGATTTACACCACTAACTGAGCCCATAGTCCTTGTAGGGATTGTGATACTGTCCATCCAATAAGCATTTATTTCATGAACTTCCCTAATAGACCTAGAAACTAAACAACCTAGAAAGATCGCTAGCAAGGCAGGGACAACTTCTAGAAGAGACTATTGCATGTACTCCTTGTTACCATTGAGGCTGGCTTGGCTTCTAAGTCCTACTCATAGCTGACAATTATCTTGAATTTCATTCCACACTAGAATTTATTACCCAATTTAGCATCCAAACTAGGACAACATTTTTGCCTTTTTATGTTACCACTCACTGTGGTGTCCCTCCTTACACCACAACCTTGACTCAGGGACGCTAGAGAATGCTACAAGTGCTGCAAAAACTCATGCATGAGGAGGTGGATTCATCAAAAGAAAATTAAGTTGCAATTATCAGATGACAGAATTAATGCAGGGCAAGAAGAAACTGATATATCCACTGCAGTCAGTTGCCTATCTTCATATTATATTAAAATGTATATATGGGCTTTGGAGTCAGAAAGATCTGCATCTGCTCCTACTAAGTGAAAAATTTAAAGTTTTAATGTTTCTGGATTTTAATTTTCTAACTTGTTTAATAACAAAATTGATAACTGAATGACAAGATTATAGTGATAGGCTGGAAAAAAAAAGAAATTATGTTCAAAGCTTCCATCATAGGGGAGTATAGTCTGTAGTAAGTCACTGTCAGTTCTTTCTAATGGGCTTTCATTTATATTCAGTCATGAATTCACTGTTACTTCATACAGTGGAAAGCAAACTGCAGCCATTTTGAAGAAGGAAAAGTTTATCTCCAGTGTAAATTTTCTCCTCTAATAACCCTGCCATTTTCACTTTCAGTGTCCAATTTTCTCATTCTGTCTTTGATGGACCAGGAGCTGCCTATGCGTACATCTTTCCCTAAATTAACTTTTCTCATTTCCTGTCTTACTTCAAGTTTTTAAAGCTTTACTTTCTCATATATAAATACAGTAACCACATTTCTATCAAGCATTTATTTCACCCTGAGCACTTCTGTCTTTTCTGAATTAAATCATACATGTATCATTAAGGACATGAGTCAGGAGTGAGGCCGATGATGAAAATTGTGGGTTCTGCATTAGGTAGATGAAGAGATGGTTGAGGGCGGAGGGTCTTACATCAGACCTTCTTTTAGGGGCATCTCCTCTGCAACACGACATTTGACAATTTGACTTCATTCTTGATGGATAGCTTTAAATCGATGAGAAGTTAAAACACAATTTTGTTAGGGAAAAATAATAACTCAATTGCCAATATCAAGCATTTTATTATAATATCAAAATTAAGTGAGTCATTTTCATCTTTATTTCATAATAAAAACGGCTATAAATTGAGATACATCTCCTTGTTTCTTACAAAATCTACCTCAAAGTGACAAAAAGAAAGCTTTTTGTTTTTTCTCATTTTTTTCTTCCTTGGCCATGTGTATACAAAATAAAACAATTTGTCAAGAAGGTTTGGGGGAAAAAAAGTAGAGTCCTCCAGAGAAATGATGCGATAACTAACTGGTTAATTTCCTGATTTTTAACTTTCATTTAAATGTGTAGGGATGGCCTGACTTTTTTTTTTTAGCCCAGCAAAAAGTTTTTCTATGATAAATTTTACATTTCCTGTTAGAAGACCATTTGGATTCTTTTGAAAAAAACTGTTCAAAGCATGAGGATTTGTACTGCCAATCACCTATATTAAAAACAATAACTTTATAAATATTTAAAATCAAATACTGTGGTGTGTTTGAATAAACTTTAAATCCTTTGTTGAAAACTTCCAGAAAGAAACTATTTTAAAAAGCTTAAGAAAAAAGAAATGAAATATTTGCATACACCTTAACCTCTGTAGATTACTAAATTCCCTTTCATTGTACCATTCACTAGCACTTCAAGCCTAATGGGGTTTCCATTTGTTGGAGTGGCTCAAACAGGGTGCTCCACTGGAGAACATGGTGTGGTTGATTTATCACTAGTGCTCTAATCAGGGAGCTGTTCCTTCAGATAAACTCTCTTGCCTGAATTATTGTCCCTGCTGTGGCTTTTAGCCTGATTAGAAAAACAGTGATTTCCCTACTCCACTTTTGTAGTAAAATAAAAAAACTTTTTTTTGTCCTTCAACAGTCTTTTAAGCTATATTTTAATAATTCAAAAGTTTGTAAACTTAGAGCAATATAACTTTTTGCCCTTGTAGAAGCATTATCTAATTTATGAATTAAAAAATAAAGCTTATTCTTCCAGACTGATATTTTTGTAGAATTATATATTATAATAAGATTGATCTGACTTTCTTTTTTTTGGTTGGTTTTTTTTGAGACAGAATTTCGCTCTGTTGCCCAGGCTGGAGTGCAGTGGTGCAATCTCGGCTCACTGCAAGCTCCGCCTCCCGGGTTCACGCCATTCTCCTGCCTCAGCCTCCTGAGTAGCTGGGACTACAGGCGCCCGCCACCACGCCCAGCTATTTTTTGTATTTTTAGTAGAGACGGGTTTCACCGTGTTAGCCAGCATGGCCTTGATCTCCTGACCTCGTGATCCACCCGCCTCGGCCTCCCAAAGTGCTGGGATTACAGGCGTGAGCCACCGTGCCTGGCCTTGATCTGACTTTCAAGTCACTATTTAACTTTACAGATGGCAATAATATTTGAGTAGCATCCAGAGTTATGCTATTGTGTTTCTTAGACGAGGCGACAGAATTTTATGAAGAGTTTTATGAAGGCAACAGAATATGCTTAATTAAGATGATGCTCTAAAAGGACAGGTTTTTATATTTGGGGCTTTAAAATTATTGTAGGATATAATCAATGTAATCATATATTATAATTAGCCTTTATATTGTGAACACAATAATAGCTCTCATACTTCCATTTCTAAATGAGAAACCTGTTAAATGCAGATTGAAGCCACTTAGAAATGCTGAGATGGCTGGAGGGGATTCATCCTGAGAAGGAGAGTTAGACCATGGGTGATGAATCTCACTTATTTTAAAATGTTAAACAGGACCCCAAGCACAATTCAGGCAGAGCAAATGAGATACCTTTGCATGAATACTGTGAGATGCCTCTTTTACTATAAATTCTGTAACAGCTATTGTTAGAAAAAATTGTTTAAAATTTAATCTAAGCTAAATATAGACACATGATTTATCCAGCTAACCTTATTCCACGAGATTCTAGAAAATTACTTTAAATGTACTCTTTTGAATAATGTATTCCCCTTGAATTGCAACTTGTTTTAAATAATTGTATGATTTACAATTATGATCTAGGTGGGGTTGAGGGCTATGGGGAATAGAAGTTAGGCAAAACTTGAAATTATTTGTAGGACTTCATTGCAAAAACTTATTTTGTAATACAGTTTGACATAGTACTTTGTTCTGGGATAGAAATGTTAAGACTAAGGCTCTATTCAAAAAGAAATGCAGATTTGAAACAGTTTTTTATGAAATTAAGATTTTCAAAAGGAAGCTTATATTTGAATAATTTTCAGTTTTACAGTTGATGTATGTGTCACATATATATACATATGTGTACACTTTGTATATACACGTTTAAAAATCAAATAATTAAGTTACTTTAGAAATGGGATAAATATAGTGTGAAAAGTTGATTAGAATGGTAATATTTATGGTTATAAATTAGTGTCAAATAACTGGTGAATTGTAAGACATATATAACCTTGTATTTAATTGTAGAACAAAATTATGTCATCAAAATTGTTATGAAAATACGAATCTAAAAACATTTGAACAGGTGTTTTTCTTTTTTTTTTTCACTATTAGTTTTAGGTGGTCGCGTGTCAGAATAGAAAGCAAAAGCACGAGATGATTTTTCACTAATTTACTAAAACTATTATATTTTAAAGTTTATGAGATTCTGGATTCCTAATCATTGTAGTTGACTTAGGAATACCTAGAAAATGACATTTTAAAGTCATATAACACCTAACTGCTCATTTTCTCCACATGTGGTAAAAAGAAGAGATTTATGAAAAGAAAAAAAATGTGCTGTGACAGGAAAAGTTCTGTTTTTATTATCCCAGCAAAATCAGGTCACCCAAATTTTTATATTTCTGATCATGGTGAAAATAATATTGATTTTTTTAAAAAAAGTTTGAAAAAATCTAAACAATTTCCTTTTCAATGCTCATTTTTATCAATTCTTAGAACATGTTAATTAAAAAGTATGCCAAAAATGTAAGTAGTTTTAAAATCCTTATAATTTACAGTAATTATTTGTGTATTTATTCAGTTAATTCCATCAAATAAAAAATATATATAGTTTTATTCGCTTCCCCTATAATATATTTACCCATATACACACAGAGTATCATGAAGAATATGATATCAAATATTAAGAATAGGCAGATCTGAGTAAAGGTTAATCAATTGTTCCTTATAATATTGTTTGTTTTGCAATTTCTTGTAAGTTTAAAATTATTTCTAAATTAAAATTTTAAAAGTGTAAAAATATTTAAACCTTTTGCTTCCATTCATTACTAGCTTAATTGCATTTTTAATCCAAATTTAACCAAATTGCTTCTTTGGAGCCCCATCGTTGTATAGGCTTAAAATCTATATACTTTTACTATGTACTTTTACTTTCATTTACTCTAATTTTAATCACATATTTATTAATACCTAAAAATTCCAACTTCAAATAAATAAAGGTGAGAGTGTTGATCACACCCTCCTCCTTGAAAGACTTTGCTCACTTGGAGGTCATTCTCTTGGTTTTCCTCCCATATCTCTGGTTGCTCCCTCTTCAGCTTTCTCTTCTGGTTCCTCTTTTCCTCTTTCTCTTCCTAATCTGGTAAACATTAAAGGGCCCAATATGTTTTGGTTTTGTTTTGTGTGTTTGTTTGTTTGTTTGAGACAAGGTCTCCCTCTGTTTTCCAGGCAGGAGTGCAGTGTTATCATCACAGTTCACTGCAACCTCCAGCTTCTCTGCTCAAGCAATCCTCCTGCTGTGTCTTCCTCAGTATCTGGGACTATAGATGCACACCACTATGACTGTTTTTTGTTTGTTTGTTTTTGTTTTTGTTTTTTTGTAGAGATGGGATCTTGTTCTGTTGATCAGGCTGGAGGGCTCAAGCTCCTGGCCTCAAGCGATCTTCTCATCTCAGCCTCCCAAAGTATTGTAATTACAGGCATGAGTGAGCCAACTTGCTTAGCATGTTCCTTTTTATATATTAAAGAAAATCCCCAAAAAATCCTATTTCAGTCCTCTCTTTCTGATATTATGTAATCTCTTGACTTACACTACAATCTGTGGGCTGATAATTCCAAAATTGACAACCCTTGGTAATTCTCCTATCCCAGACTCATGTGTCCAACTGACTACTTGCCATCTCCACATAACTATCAAACAGGCATCTCCAACTGGACCTGTCCAAGAAGGAACTGCTGCTTTTCCTCAGGGCTGCTTCAGCCACAGTCCTCTCCGTGTTGGCTAATGACAACTCCATCCTTTAAATCAATCTGATTTTGGGTTGGTTAAGTCATTAGCCACATTCACAATTATTTTAAAGATATGTCTTTATTTCTACATTTTATGGAGGGTTCATTTAATGTACACACTTACATGTGAGAGCAAAACACTTGGAGTCATACCGTCATACCTCATGATCCCTCTCACCCCACATCAAATAAACCAGTCGTGTTAGATCTACCTTTAACATTTATCCCCGGATTCTCATTCAACCATTACTTACTACCTCCATTGTTATATTACTTTCCCAAAGCATAAGCATCTAGCCTAGATTATTGCGAAGTCTCCACATTGGTCTCCTTATTCCTGAGTCTCCTATTCTCTACCCTTTCAGATTAATCTTTTTTTTTTTTTTTTTTTTTTTTTTTACAGAGTCTTGCCCTGTCGCCCAGGCTGGAGTGCAGTGGCCTGATCTCGGCTCACTGCAATCTCTGCCTCCTAGGTTCAAGCGATTCTCCTGCCTCAGCCTCCCGAGTAGCTGAGATTATAGGTGCGCACCACCGCGCCCAGCTAATTTTTGTATTTTTAGTAGGGACGGGGTTTCACCATGTTGGCCAGGATGGTCTCAGTCTCTTCACCTTGTGATCCGCCTGCCTCGGCCTCCCAAAGTGCTGGGATTACAGGCGTGAGCCACCACGACCGGCCTAACCCTCTTTTTTAATCCAAACATTTAAAGCTACAAATTTCCTGCTAAACATTATTCATGTAATCTCCCACAGATTTTTGACGTGTGAAATTCTTATCATTCAGCTCAAAGTATTTTCGAATTGCTTTTGTAGTATTTTGACATGACTTAATTGGAAGCATATTATTTAATTTTGTATATTTGATATTTTCTAGATATTTTACTGTTACTGATTTCTAAATTGTGTCCAGACAATGTACTCCTTATATTAAGATGCTTTTACATTTTATTGAGACTAGTTTTATGGCCCAGGATATGGTCTATCTTGGTGAATAAATTATATTCACTTGAAAACAATGTATATTCTGTGATTGATGAATTTAATTTTCTACAAGTAACAATAGATTAAGGTGTATGCTAAAGTTGTTCAGATAATCTGTCTCTTCGCTGATTTCATATATTTTACTTTTTCATTCTCACATTTCCATTTGGTTCTTTTTCATAGTTTTCATTTCTCTGCTAATATTTTAAATATTTTCATTCATGGAAGCATACTTTTTTTTTTCATTCAGTGTAATTAAAATAGCTACTTGAAAGACTCCTTTGCTAATTCCAACACCTGAGGCTTGTCTCTTGATAATGCGACACATCTTCTTGGCTCTTTATATGTTGAGTAATTTTGCATTGTATCTGAGACATTGAGATTGTTTTATATTCATAACTTTGAATTCTATTGGATTCCTTCAAATGGAGTTGATAATTTTACTTTAGCAAGAAATTAACTTGCATGGGCTCAAACTGCAAATACCATCAATTTGACTGGTGTCTTTGCAGTCTGCCTTATACTTGTATTGCTCAGGGATCAAGGATAGATTTAGGCACAGTTTATATATAGAATTTATGGTTGGCTAGCTTTGGAGCTGATCTTTTCAGGAAGACTCTCACACTATTCAGTGGCCATATTTTCCCTGAACTCTATCCTCAAGTTCTTTCATCTAGCAAGAATATGTATGGATTTTTTTTCTCTCATAGCACCTAGCTTTAAGCTGATACCAGTGGGCTAGGGGAGGTCCCCAAATGCCAGCATAACCTCCACCCTGGCCAGTGTCTAGGCTCTTGACACCATTGTCAGAAGGAACTCAAGGACAAGTCAGAAAATAGTGAAAGTATGAAGATTTATTGCAAAGCAAAAAGTACACACTCAAGAAAAGGCAGTGTGGGCAAACTCAAGAGAGTGAGTCGCTTGCAGTGGGGCTTGGGGCTTCTATCTTTACTGGTTTCTTTAACCAAGGGGTGGAATATTCATGAAGATTTCTGGAAGAAAAAAGGTGAAGATTTCTCAGAACTGTAGTGTCATCCATTTTTACACCAAATATGAGTGTTCTTAGAAATGTCATGGAGCTGATGGGTGTGTGATTTAGTGTTTAATGAGCATACAGCAAGGTCGTAGGTGAAACAGGCCAAATCCAGCACCCTGTTGGGTATATTTTGTCCTATCTGGCTGGGCCAATATCCTATTTTTCAGGGTCTTATTGGCCCCTAGCTTATGCAGCTATTTCAAGAATTTCTTTTTGCCAAGTCATGTGAAATTGCTACCCGGAATTTTCTTCTTCTGTAACTACCCTGTATTATTCCTGTCTCAAAGCCACAAAAGGAGGTAACTCACCCTTTTCTGTCCCTTTTGACAAGTATTTATACTTCTTCAGAAAGTTCCTAATTTTATTCATGCTCCAAAACCTTCAGAGTTTTTTACTGCTTTTTTTTTTTTTTCCTCTCAAATTTAGGGATGTTAATTGTGTGAGGTCTGGCTGGTAGGAGCCCATGCAGTCATCTCAGAACTGGAATCCCAAGACTAATCACATAACACAAATCACAATTGTCCTGTTAAAATTAAGTCTAATCATACAACTTGTTTTGTGGAAACTTCCCAATTGCTTCCTGTTTCAGAATAAAATCCAAGAGCCTCATCATGACTTATAAAGTCCCTCATTACCTAGCCACCCCCAATTACCACCCTGATGGCATCTCTCATTACTCTCCCTTGGGTATACACCACTCAGTGCTGTCCTCTTTCTGTTAACTCATACGTGAATACATATATCAAGCCTGTTCCTCTTTGTATTTGCTTCCTCTTCTTGGAATATTCTTAATGCCAAATGTAGGCATGACTGTCTCCTTGAATGCCATCAGGCTTATACTCAAATGCTACTATTTTAAAAATAAACTTTATTTTAAGTCAAGCACGTCCATGTGAAGAGACCACCAAACAGGCTTTGTGTGAGCAATAAAGCTTTTTATTCATTTGGCTGCAAGTGGGCTGAGTCCGAAAAGAAAGTCAGCGAAGGGAGATGGGGAAGAGGTTGTTTTATAGGAGTTGGATAGGTAATGGAAAATTACGGTAAAAGGTGGCTATCTATTGTTAGAGGAGGAGGGGGTCACAAGGTACATGGTGGGAAGATCATAAGACTTACTGTCCAGAAGAAGAATGTCATAAAGTTGACTGATCAGCTAAGGTAGGGCAGGGACAAGTCACAATGGTAAAATGTTGTAATTTTGGCTAATCAGTTAAGGGAGGAACTGGCTGTTTGACTTTGTGGTTTTTTGGCTGCTCCAGACTTCTTGGCTCCTGCAGGGCACCTGGATGTGTGTGTGCAGGTCACAGAGGTTATAATGGCTGAGCTTTGGCTCAGAGGCCTGACATTTTATAGAACAGTTTTAGATTTACAGAAAAACCGAAGAGATAGTACAGAGAATTCTCGGATACTTGTCTGGGGGCCATTGGCCCTTGGACCCGTAAAGGTTTGCTAAAAATCACTGACATGAGGCACATTGATGAATAGAATAAAAGGCACACAAATTTATTTAATTTGTGTACACAAGAGGCTTCAGAATAAACATCCAGTTTCCTAATGCATTATAGAAATTTATATACCATTTTGAGGTTCTGGAAAGAATAAGGGCTTAGACTCTAGTGAAACAGGTTATGGGAAGGGTGGAGGGAGAAAAGTCTTGGCTAGCAAAGGTGGACCTTGTTACGTTGACGAAGGCTTCCTTAGAGAGAATATATGGAAAATGTTTCTTTTCACACTTTTAAAGGTGTCAGACTCTCAATCTCTCCTGAATCAGGGAAGGCATAGAAAGGGGAGGAGGAATGGCTGCATTAATGAAGATTCTCCACAGATGCAAATTTTCCCCACAAAAGACTGCTTTGCAAGGCTGCTTCTGTTTGTGTGCCAAGTGGCAGCCATTTCAAAATATGTTAAAGGGAAATATTTTTGGGTAAAATATTTTAATTTCCTTTATGCTGCACCCAGTCCCAATCTCCACCCCCATTACTAACATTTACATTATTAGTGTGCTACATTTGTTATAATCAATGCACCATTACTGATAGAGTATTATTAAATAAATCCCATTATTTATTCATATTTCACTTAGTTTTAATCTGCTGTCCTTTTTCTGTGCCAGGATTCTATCCAGGACTTCACATGTTGAAGTCATGTTGTCATGTTTCTTTAAGTTCTTCTTGGCAGTGACAGTTTCTCAGGCTTTCCTTGTTTTTGAAAACCTTGATAGTTCTGAGGATTACTGGTTATATATTTTGTAGAATGCCCTTCAATTAGAATTTGTCTGATGTTTTTCTGATGGTTATGTCAGAAGCGTTTTAACCAGAGTGACTCCATGTTGTATAGAGGCTGGGTAAAATAAGGCTGAGATCTACTGGGCTGCATTCCCCGGAGGTTAGGTGTTCTTAGTCATAGAATGAGACAGGAGGTCTGCACAAGATACAGGTCATAAAGACCTAGCTGATAAAATAGCATGTGGTAAGGAAGCTGGCCAAATCCCACCCAAACCAAGATGGCGATGAAAGTAACCTCTGGTCATTCTAATTGCTCATTCTACATGAATTATAATTCATTAGCATGCTAAAAGACAATCCCACCAGCACCAAGACAGTTTACATGCCATGGTAACATTAGGAAGTTGCCCTGTATGCTCTAAAAATGAGAGGAACCCTCAGTTCTGGGAACTGCCCACCCCTTTCCTGGAAAACACATACATAATCCACTCCTTGTTTATCATATAATCAAGAGTGGCAATAAGTATCCTTAGTTGAGCAGCTCATGCCACTGCTCTGCCTATGGAGTAGCCATTCTTTATTCTTTACTTTCTTAACAAACTTGCTTTCACTTTACTATATAGATATGCCTTGAATTCTTTCTTGCAGGAGATCCAAGAACCCTCTCTTGGGATCCGGATTGGAACCCCTTTCCAGTAACAGACTGATTGGGGTTATAGATCCTTGGGAGGAAGGCCACAGAGGAAAAATGCCACTTTTGTCACATCATATTAAGGGTACATACAGTCAACATGACTTATCACTGTTGGCATTGACCTTGATCATCTGGCTACACCAATTTTTGTTAGGTTTCTCCACCTTCAAGTTATTATTATTATTTTTTAGCCAGTGTGTAACCAGTACAGCTAGTTTGCTAGTTTACCCTAAAAGTAACCCTTCTCTTGCTTTGTATCTACACATACATCTAACTACCTGTTTGCTTGAGAATTTCCAAGTCCAATCTTGAAACAATCTAGGAACCAAGTGGAGATGGCGGTTGAAATTTTCTCCCTTGCAAGAAGAAATTGGTGTCCAGTTAATTCATAACCCGACTCCCATAGAGATGATATCAGCCAGGCTTCTGGATGGTCCATTACCCAAAACAGCCATCAGAAAACAACAAGCAGACTTTACCTCACATCACTCTTGCACATAGTTTCCATGTCACCTTTCCTTAAAACCCCTTTAGGCAGTCTGAAAATTTGAAATGGCTTTTTGAAACTTGAATCTGGCCATCCCTCAAGCTGCTATCACCTAAATAAACTTGTTTTCCTTCCCCTAAACCTTGATTCTTATGTGTCTGGCTTTTTGAATGTTGAGCAGGTGAACCTAAGTTTGGTTACAATTTCTTTAAGAACCTTTGCTGCTTTTATTGAAGAATAGTATTAGAAACAACTATCTGGTCAGTGGATATGCTTGTTGCTACTGGGTGTCATTGCTCCTAGGCCTTTTCAGATGACAGAGCAAGAAAATGTATGTGTGCATACTAACCCATGTAGATTTGCATACCCATAAATATTTCTGTACGTAACCCTCTGTATCTATATTAAGCTAAACATGAGCTCATACTGTGTCCAACTCTAATCCATTACTACATGGATCATTCTAGCCTCTTTTCTTCGTTTAACTTATAATCTCCCACTCCAAAAATGAAAATCCAGTTTTTACCATCTGCCATCCATGTATTTAATTGTGTAATTCCAGTATACATATATAATAGTTTCAGAATTTCTAACCCACATCACTATGGAAAACAACTTTATGAATTATAGTTTGGTGCTTATGTAATCTTTTTTTCTTTTATTTTTTGCCTTTAGTTTTACAGATTTCATTCATTTCCAAAGTAACTTAGGTCAGTCACTTTGGTTTGCCTGTGTCCCCATCAAAATCTGATCTTTATTTGTAGTTCCCATAATCTCCAAATGTCGTAGGATGGACCTGGTGGGAGGAAACTGTTTTTTCTGTCAATGTTCAAATTTTTCCAAATCAGGAGCAATAATTGTGTTTGAAATGCATGGAAGTGAGATTTTATTTAATTTTCATGTATAGTATATTATTTCAAAATTTCAGCTATAAATGTGGTTTGTGTCCTCACTCTCTCTTTGTTTCTTAATAGAATAGTTTTCATTCATGTATGTGAGTGCGTGTTTGTGCGTTTGTGAATATTTTACCTGTAGTATGAATGGGTTCAGATAAAAATTCACAAATTTATTGGCATTTCTATTGTAGATATTCAAGAAAAACAACAAAGTATATCACCATTAAAGTTCAAAACGAGTAATAATTTATTGCATAAAAGTGGAATGCAAGCACTAACATTGCAGCACTGATTTTAACTGCTTTACCATCCAGTATGGAAAACATTACGTATCAGTGTTAGGATTTCTTTTAGCCCTGATGTTTCTGTCTGGAGATTGTTATTGTTTGGGAGTTAATTTCAATTATGGCAGTAGAAAAATTATAATCACACTACATGCTGGTATTTTGATAGTTTTCTGAAAACAGAAAGAATGAGTCTTGAGATGTTTTTATACTTCTTGAATTTCATCATTCTTCATTAATGTTAAATGAAACAGCTTATTTGAGGTAGTTCTGATTGTAAATTGCACATGTCAAGGAGTTAAGGTTAGTTGCCAAGATATGAAGAACAGAAATGGAAAGGAATGCTAAACCAAGCACGGCGCATATGGGCTAATCATTGTTGAAAAGCCATTGCTGAGTGAAATATATGTGGAATGATTTTGGTGGTCTGAGAAAGTAATTCATAATAGAGTAATAGAAATTGGTTATAGATAAGTAAATTTAAGGATATCTGTGTAATTACTACTGTATAACATTTCCAGTAGCTTCTGCCTAGTGGTTTAGTAATTATTGCCATCTAGAATTGGTGAGAAAATAAGAAACTCCTCTACATGTAAAAAAACATTTTCAAAAGAGTAATTGGCTTCTTCTAAGACCCTAGATATTAAGAATTTATGTTAGTTTTCTCTTTAGAAATAGAGTCACAATAAGAAATGAAAGGATAAATATTTTTAGTTATTTTTTTTCTAAAGCACATTCAGGGTCCCTAAGAGTAATATAGAAATCCAGATATTGCGCAGTGGAATATAAAAGACATGTTCACATCTTAGCAATTGTATAATTATTTTGACAAAGGGATAATTATCATACCTTTGGAGTTCTAGAGTGATGATTTTTAGTAATTATGATTCTGCATTTGATAAGCTAGAAAATTCATTGTCGTTTTCTATGCAAAAGTTTAATAGCTTTTATTTTTATAAGCTCAAAAATTCTAGCTAGGTTAAATATTTTAGAACCTCAGATAAGAAGGGTCTATCCTGTGAATATCTAAGTCGTTTAACTAATATTTACAACCTTACATGAATGGAAACTGCAATATATAGTTTTCATTGTGAAGACCATACAGTTGCACTGAAGAGACGACTAAACAAGGACCAGAAAGACTCCAACATCCCTCTTCTGATGGAATCTTCTCTCATTAATATTGAGAATTAATAATTGAATTATTGGAATTGAATCAATTCTATTCTTCTCATGTTCTATAAATATCACATATTTTTGCATTTTTTTTTTGTTCAGTGTGTTTTAGTTGCCTTAATGCTTTCACTCACGTTTTTCTTCTGATAATCACTATTATTGGGGTTTCATGAGACTTGTGATCACTTCCCTTTGTTGACAATCAAGATGTGATCTTGAGCATATGTATTCCATCTGAGGATCAGTTTTCTCATATGTGAAAGAGAGTTTTCTCATGTAAAACTTCCTTATTGGGAATCGTGCAAATAAAATAAGACAATCCCAGATGATAAATTAACATTCTGATCCACAGGTGGAAAAACCTAAGTGGTAGCTATTACTGGCAGTATTATGAATTGCAGATGGTATATAATATATGCAGTCAATTTTCAAAATACATTCCAATAAATGAACATTCCTCCTGCTAATCCAAAATTTAGCAGCTTTCCAGCAAACAAGTACCAAGTCCCATTCTTAAAGGGTATAAACTTTAATTTGATGAGCATTGAACTATTTAAGTTTGTCAAGTTGTTGAGGCAGCTTTGCCAAATAACTTAATGAAGACATTTAATTTGCTCAGAACTACTAGCTTACCCACTCTCATCTTTAAAAAATGTTTTCAAAAATATTTGGCTGTACTATATTGTATAAAAAATGGATTATGCTATTTTTATTAATTTGAAAGGAGTTTTGGGGTATTTGGTAGACATTTTGTACTCCATATTATAAAATGCTCAGATAAATATATACAACAATGAAACTCTTTTGAATCTATTAAAAAACCACACAACTGATAAATTTCAAGAAATCTCTATCAAAATGTCTTGTAGGGTAGTGGCGAGATTTTATTAATTTTAAATTAGAAAAAGACAACTGAATGTCTGCACAGGGTTAAATATATATTATTGTAAAATATTTTGATATATATTATATTTTATCCCCTTGCACATTTCCTCATTCTGGCAAACATTTCTTGCCATAGTTTTCTGGGAACTCATTAATATAAAATATCCTTATGCTGAATCTATGCTTACATAGCGTGTAAATGATTTCAGTTTTTTAAACCATAAAACAATTCTGAATTTTAGTGATCCTTACTAGTATACCTATGTGCATGCCATGATTTAAAAGGTAAAGGGCAAGGTCAAAACAGTTGCTGCAGAAGTATAAAGCACTGAGGAGGTGACAGAAAAAAACAAGCAAGCTGAGTGTGGTTGTGCGCTCCTTTAGTCCCAGCTACTGGGAATTCTGGGCTACAGTGAGCTGTGATGTCGCCAATGTATTCTAGCCTATGTGACATAGCAAGATCCTGTTAAAAAAAAAAAAAAGGAAGGAAGAAAGAGAGAGGGGAAGAGAGAGAAAAAGAAAGAAAGAAAGAGAGGAAGGAAGGAAGGGAGAGAAGAGAAAGAAAAGAAAGAAAGAAAAAAGAAAGGAAAGAAAGGAAGAAAAAAGGAAAGAAAGAAAAAGAAGGAAAAAAATGAAGGAAGGAAGGGGAGAAGAGAAAGAAAAAAGAAAGGAAGGAAGGAAGGAAAGAACCTTGCAGACTACAGCAGAAGGAAATGGTGGCTTGCTGGCTTGGCATTGAGGACTTTACTGGTTATACTAATTGAAGATTACATGTCCAGTAATTTTCTCCCAGATCTATAAACATTATGTGTTTAATTGGTTTTTATAATGCATTTAAAAATCACTTTTCAATGCTTCCTAAAGTACTCAAGAAATATGAAATTTTTTTGAATAATCAAGAATTTAAAATAGCTATCTATGAGGTATCCCACAGTGAATAATGTATGACTACACACCTTTTATAAAGTAAGCCATGAGCCACTTCCAAATCTATTTTATTCAGCCAAAGATTGGCAGGTAATCAAAATTATGTTTTAATTCAATAGAAATAGTTTAATGGGGAAAAAGATGTTTGTGGTTAGCCTTTAAGAATAATTAAGTGATTGTGAACCAGGATCCCTTTTTGAGACTCTATGCATATAGAAGTATATATTGCACGTGTATAAACACTTTAAAATAATTATACTCTTTATTATTTTCAAGGTGTCACAAACAGAAAATATTATTGAAAAGAATTTCCCTATATAAAAATATTATTGCCACTTCCCAAAATTAGCAGTCATATTTTTTTTCTAGTTATTTTGACTGCTGGAAAAAATCAGAATGAGCACCATAAGACTTTAGCTAATTCTGGGCAATATCTTCATATGATCAGTCTCTGCCACTAAATCTAATAGGTGTTGCATTTTGCACCTATGAACAGACCTCACATATTAAGAACTTAAGAAAAGCTAACTTGCCAGTAAATTGCAATTACCATATGAGCACTAAGGTGCAGTCTGTTCAGAAGCTTTATGTCATAATTTCCATAGATAAGATAAAATGATATTTAATTTGTATTTTTTATTTTATTAATAGGATATTTTATAGATGCCATTCCTTCCCACACTCTAATTTATCTCATTTTATAGTGCTTTCCTTAAGGCCCTGGAGACAACCTACTTATTTTTTAAGACTGTTTCCTAAATATTTGGGAATGCTGTTATTATTTTCTCAGTGAATCAGAGGGTAGCTTGTAACATAAACTATGTTTGTAGTTTATGCTGCTAAAATCTTTGGTGCTTTGGTTTGGCAAGCAAAAGGGCATGGGCCCAATGAGAATAACTAGAAAGGCTATGGGGATTGCTACTGCTAATGTCACACATGCGCGCACACACACACACACGCACACACATGTGGATATATATATACACACACATATACACTCATATATGTGGCATATATATGGCTTTGTATGGTATTAATATGAAGTTCTTTAGATAATATTTTAAGCATTGACCATCATCAAAAGAAGAAAATATAGATGCATCAGAACACCATGGATTTCATAATTTGTAAGGAAAGCTGGAACAGGATGAATGTAGTGAGAAATTCATGTATTCATTCAACAAATATATATGTGTATATATATATATTTGCACGTGTGTGTGTTTGTGTTAAACATCTTAGAAAGTGAAGCAACCTAGTCTAAGGTTTTAATGTTGAAATCAAGTTCTTATCAAAATTTTACAACTGCAACATCCCTTTCTTCCTAAAAAGCCAAAAGCCTTGGAAAGCATTCTGGGAAACTGAGGTAATTTTAGAATAGAGGTCATGAAAACATATTTTTATAAAAGGGGTGATTATGTCATCCTATTGGAAAAATTATTTAGAAGAAAATCTTCAACATACTAGTCAGTATAGTAGATGATAAAATAAACCATTACTTTCAGATTATTTACAATATTTATTTAATATCAAAACTGCCGGTGGTCATTATAATAAATATCATCTACTTTTATAGTTGCCTTCTATTTTGTTCCAATGTTTGGGGCTTTAGATACTAAAAAGACTTTTAGTGAACCTGTGAGAATTTACTTAAAGCTGTTAGTGTATGTGCGTGTTTCTTTCCATTGCAGGTTATGAGAACATATTTAAAGTATCCCATTACTTTTCTTGTTTAATAAGAACCAGTATTATTTTGTGGGCATAATTTAGAAACTCTATTACAGACATGTTTGCTGGGAGTTGAAAATGTTAATTAAAGTTCTTAAATATCTGGTTGTTATTTTATTAAATGTAAAAGTGTCAATGTCATAGACTGTATGTTTCTTATAAGAAACATAAAGAACAGAACCATTACCCATATAGTCTACTTTTAATGAAATGATATTAATTGATTCTTTGTATATAATAAACATTTAATATTAATGCAAACTTAACTCATGGTACCAAACTAAGTGGTTGTAGAAAAATGCTGGCTTTATTTGAAAGATGTTGAATTGCAGTGGGAAAATAAAAAAAACAAAACAAAACAAAAAAAACAAAAACAAAAAACAAAAAAACAAAGACTAAATATCAGTAGACATATTTCTAGGTTAGAATCTGCTTTTATTAGCTTTTATTGTAAATGAGATATTTGGCTTTTGGGATCTCAGTTTCCTCAGCTATAAAATGATTTCTTTCTTCTTTTTATTTGTATATATTTGTGGGGTACCTGTGCAATTTTGTTACATGCATAGATTACATCATGGTTAATTCAGGGCTCTTAGGGTATCCATCACCTGAATAATGTACACTGTACTCATTAACTGATTTCTTGTTATCCACTCCACATCCTCATCCTTCTGAGTCTCTGTTGTCCATATAAAATGACTTTTAAAAAAATGATTAAATCTCTTTATATTTTCTACCACCACCTTCAGCTGGATTACAGAGATGTAGATACACATCAAAAAATAGAAAATACTACATTTTTTTTTGACAGGATAGTGTTAATATTTAAAAAATCATTTACATATTTGGGGAGGGATAAAAACACTTGAAAGCGGAATGGTTAGAAAAGCAAAATAGAGCATTTGAGAGTGTAAATAGTGGTAAAAAACCAAAATAGATGTAAAGAAAGGAAGAACACAGATGAGAGTGTAATGATAAGGAAAAACAATGAGAGAATAAAAACTGAAGATAAACGTCTTTCAAGTCTGTGTATTTCTGTTTAAGTCAAGAAAAATTTTTATTGACCTAGTCCAAGTACTTGCAGATCAACAGTGGTAGTGATGGTACTAAGTCAATGGAAATGTTTCTCCTAATTATTATTTTTAACTTTGTATCAAATAAAAACATTCATAAAGTTCTTCTTGACAAAATTTCACAGTAAAACATAAATTTATTTTATATATATATGGCTTTGCATTGTATTAATATGGAGTTCTTTAGATAATATTTTAAGCATTGATGATCATCAAAGGAATATAATATAGATCCACAGAATATCGTTGATTTTGTAATCCGTAAAGAAAGCTGGAATAGGATGAATGTCATGAGAAATTCATTCATTCATTTTGACAACTATTTATTTGGTACCCAAAATTTACAAAATACAATTTGTTGGAGTTTACATGTTAAACCATGGTCTCTGCACAGAAGGGACAGAAGCAAAGAGAGACAAAGAGAGAGGGAGACAGGGAGAGAGAACCTGATCAGACTTGTCTGGGTGTTGCAAGTTGTTATTGTGTGAAATGGCATTCTTTAAAGTGAAGGGATTATAATCCTATTTGATTTTCTAGTTGACTGAAGGGCTTCAAGGTGGGGCGAAATATGTCACAATTAGTGTTTAATGACGGAGGAAGAAAGTTTTCAAACATATAATACCTGCTAGGAATTCTAGTACTGACATGTTTCAGACATTAGTAAAAACTACAAAAAGAAGAAAAAAGTGAAAGCTGGAAAAGAAACATGCATAATAATATTGAAACTCAATATCATAAATAAAGCACCCCAAACACACATACACACCAAATGAAAAATATGTGGAAGGACACATACTAAATTGACAATCTTAGTTACCTTAGAAGACGGAATTAGATGTGTATGGGAGGCATGTTTCTGTAGATAGCTCTGTACCATTTTGAATGTTACAATGGAAATGTAGCATTTGCTTGAATGGGATAAGGGCCTGGAAACAAAAAGGTCCAGTAATAGCATACCTTTGCATTATTTATATACAATTTATAATGGTTTCTAGCTAAATCTCTCTCTCTCTCTCTCTCTCTCTCTCTCTCAACATGAGTATTGGGTAATGGCTTAACTATCTACATTTTTTAAAATAGGACCGTTTTACAAGATGTGGACAGTAGAACAGGAAGATACTTTGGAGCAATTCATTTTAGCTTAGCTTTCCACTCCTGGTTAAGGACTACGTCAACCAAAAGACTTGTCCATCTTCTATTTCCAAGTCCTGATCAGAGGGCAGGGTTGGGCAGGCTGTCTGAGAGGTAGCACTCTATTTCTAGAACCAAAACATGAAAAATCAACTCATTGACACATTGTTTTAAAACTCCAAGGAATATTTACCTAATGTCTACTATATTCTAAACAATCAACATATTGGGCCTTAAAAACATAGATATTAATATAAAAGACCTTGTCTTTGAAGAAGTAGAAATCCTCAAATGGGAGACTTACCCATAATCACCCTGTTGTAATACAATGTGATTGGACTATTATAAGAATATGTCAAAGCAGAAGGGATGGTACAGGATTTCTGCACAAAATTGCCCAAGAAAGATTTACCTAATAAAGTAAAATTTGAACTGGATCTTTAAAAAATGAGCAGAAGTTTTCTAGGTTGATTGGAGTTGGCAGAGAGGCATTTATTACTGGCAGAGGACATTGCATTTGACAAGCCACAGAGTAATTTAAAAAATGGAAATTTTGGAAAACTGAAATGCTACTTACTACAGGGGTAAAATAGCGAGCAGCCAGAGATGTGGGTGAAGATGAAATGAGGGAATGAAAAGTTTTGTGCTCTGAAAGAGTTTGGACTTTCTCCTGTGGGTAATAACGAACTATGAAAATACTTTAAGCAGGAGTAAAACAAGCCAAGGATCAGCCTTGTTTCCTTTTTGGCAATGATAGTTTTCTATTTTTATATTGAGACCTTTGGTTCTATTAAAAACAAAACAAAACAAAACTTTTGTTTCTTAAAAAGGCTTATTATTAATTAAAATAGAACCAAATTTTATTTGCTTAAATAAAAATAGGAAGGAAAAGTGTAGATTCAAAGGAAGGCTAACCACATAATGAATGAATTATAATGAATGAATTGGGAGTGGGGTCAATGGAGGCAGTCTTGTTCCTATAAATGTTTACTTCTAAACACATGTTCAGGGGGAAGAAGTCAAAATCTTTTACTATGAATTAAGATAAAATAGGCAGCTATTTAAATAGCTCAGAAACCAGTGAACATTTTTGAAGTCGTATTTCTAAAAATAATATGCAGTAGTACTGCTCTATTTAGAATTATTTTATCAATGGTGCATTACGTTAAGAGATTAGTTCAGATTTTTAAAAGTATCATGGCACACAAATGCTGCACTTTGGGTTTCTGTTTGAAGTGAGTTGTGTGTGGTCCTGCACACAATCCGGATCATCACCAGCTAATCCTCATGTCTCCCAGAGAACAGAATTCCCATTGTTGTGGTTCTTCACTAGAAACAGCTGGGTTACCTTTTCTGGGTTAGCTGGTGGGATGGGCAGCTGCATTCCCCAAATCACACAAATCACCAGTGAAGCTTATTTTGATTGCTAGTTTCTGCACATCAAGATACTCTTAAATTTTTTTTTTCTGTATGTTGTCATAGATTCCTTTCATGCACTGCTCCACCCAGCAAAATATTTGGGCTGCACATTCTGTATTTCCACTGTAAAGATACCATTCTTTTCCAAAATTAAAAAAAAAATACTCTGAGATTTGTTGCTTCAGTTTTGAATGGGAAAAAATAGGTTTATTTCTTTCTTTTTAGTTGTATTCATAGTCCCTTAGGGCAGTTTTGGCACTTTCATTTTGACATACACTGAAAATATGTAGTGAGTTGAGGACAGTTTGGTGCACAGAGAAATGTGTTCTGTATATTTTCTTTGCTGTGGAGGAAGATCATCGATATCAGCTTTCTTTTGTAAAATAAGAGACTGGCATTCTTTAGTGCCAGCATGAGGCAGAAAGGGATGGAGAGAGGGCATGGTGATGATAAGAAGCGATCCAAAATTGTTAAGGTAGTTTATACATGTCTTGATGTACTAACTCAATGCACTGATTGATTTAATGGTGAAATCAAGAGAGAGTGCATTTATTTACATATTAAAAGCCCAATATGTTACTACTATATACACATTTATTAAAAAAAAATCTGAACTTGAAGAGTGCAATTGTCAGGGGAGGGGTGGTGGGGAGAGTATTAGGAAAAAGAGCTAATGCACGCTGGGTTTATACCTAGGTGATGGGTTGATAGGTGCAGCAAACCATCATGGCACACATTTACCCAAGTAACAAACCAGCATATGCTGTGCATGTGTCCCAGAACTTAAAAAACAAAAATAAAAATAAAAATAAATCTTTTTGTTTTTTTCATTTTAATATTTCCCTGTAGCAACAGCCTAGAATGTCTCTTTTTATTCAATGGTTCTCGTAAGTCTTCAGGTACTTCCAGGTACCAGCAGCATAATTTTTATTTATTAAAAAGTCCAGTACTATTATATCTAAATAAAAACGTCCATCTTATAACAAATTAACTACAGCTCAGGTTGGAGTCCTTTGTATTTCAGCTGTGAGGACCGTGCACCTTATAGGTTCTTTTACTCCTTTATCTCCTTATGTTCCACAACTCATTCTGCTGTTTTTGGTTTCCCAAGGACAGTGAGATGGGCAGGAAGAGAAGGATGTGAGGAAGAGACAGCTTTACCTTCTCGTGTTTTTGGATTCTAGTTGGTAGTTTCTCCTTTTCTGGTGCAGCTGCTGCACTCCCTGTGTGATCTCTTATAGGTTCCTCCATTACCAGTCCTGGTGTTTTCAAGTACATCTGGTGGGGATCCACATAGTCCAAGAAGCAGCCAATTCTTTCAGATTGTGTTTGTTCAAGATAGTTTGAACCAGGCTACAGTCTCATGTGTCCATTTGGCACACAAGAGGATTTGTACATTTTAGCCAATTTTCTCCTTCTTAACCTTGCAATGCTGATAACCTCCAGCTCTAGCAAAGGATATCCGGGCCCAAGGAGACATGTTAATCTTTGACACTCTCTGCTGCAGCCTCTTGACAACTCTGGGCCTTTTAGTTTCTGCATTCCTCCAAGTACTCAGCTAAAGTAAGTATTTTTTTTTCTGGCAACTACCTTTCTAACTTCTTTAACTATTTTTTTCTTCTTCCCTCATTTGTCCATAGTAAGAGAAATGCCACAAAAATATTCTCCTCCACATTATCTCTCAAGGATCTCTGCAAGGCCTCTCGCATCTTTCATATAAGCTAGCAGTGAGATATGCCACAAAATCATAGTAAGGCTCATTTTGTTTTCTTGTTTCAAGCTCCACAAAGGGTCCTTATTACTATTGGCCTCAGCATTGCCTTTTAGCTGGAATTCTGAGAAAATTGAGGAATTGCCTCATTTAATATCCTGATACAATAATACGAATTTAATATACGTGTTCTATTCATTATGGGAAATTAATAATAGCACCTAAATATTAATATATGCCCAATATCCTAATCCATCAAACCTTTGAATGTTACCTTATGTTGTAAAGTTTTTGAAAACATGACTAATTTAAGGATATTGAGATGAGGAAGTTATCCCGAATTATCTGTTTAGGATCTGAATTCCACAAGTGTCTATCAGAGAGAGGAAAAGAGAAGTTAAACCATACACTGAGGGGAAGGTAGAAACTGGTATTTTAAGGCCACAAGTGAAAGATTGCCAGGATCCCTACCGGCCTTTTCCTGGAAGAGAGAAGGAAAAGATTCTCTCTTAGAGCCTCTGGAGGAGTGCAGCCCTGCTGACACCTTGATATCAGATATCTTGCCAGCAGGACTGTGAAAACAATACATTTCTCCTGTTTTATACCACTCAGTTTGTAATAATTTGTATGGAAACAATAACAAACTAATGTATCTATTATTATATAGTAATAACTTTCTAGGGTCTGAATATTGGTATCCTCCCCAAATTCATATGTTGGAACCTAATACTCAATGTGATATTATTCAAATATGGGGCCTTTAGGAAGTGATTTTACTGTGAGGGCTTCTACCTTATGAATGGGATTAATACCCTTATAAAGAGGTTTGAGGGAGCCTCCTGGTCCCTTCTGCCATGTGAGAACGTATCAACAAGGCACCATCTATGAGGAATGGGGCCTCACCAGACACAATCTGCTGGCACTATGATATTGGACTTGCCAGGCTCCAGAACAGTGAGAGAAATAAGTTTCTGCTATTTATAAATTACCCAGTTTAAGGTATTTTTTCAATAGCAGCCTGAAAAGATAAGACAGGAATCCAATTAGAGATCTCTCTTCTCCTCTCATTTGACCTATCAGAAACATTCTATTACTGTCGACCTCCCCGTTCTTTTTGACATATTTTCTTGCTTTCAAGATGCCACACTCTGATTTTTCTTTACCTTTCTGGCCAATTATTTTTTGCCTATTTCTCTTCTTCTCCAAGACCTTTTAATATGGTAGGGCCCTAAGACTCAGTCTTTTGTTCTGTTCTCTAGCTCTGTCTTTCCCTTAGTTATCTTTGCTCTCAGGGTCTTAAGTAACATGATGATTCTGAAATGTATTTGTCTATCCCAGGCCTCTCCACCAAACTCTGGATCACATCTCCAACTGGCTATGCAATACTTTTATTCGATGTTTAATATAAATCACTATGTTATGTGAAAATCATACTTCTGGTCTTCTGTTCTCTTCAGATTTCGCCTACCCACACTCTTCCTTATTTCAGTTTAGGGTAAGTCCATTGTTTCAGTTGCTTAGACCAAAATTTTAGAGTCATACTTCATAGCTCTCTTTTTCCCTCACTCTGCATCTAATACATCAAATATTCGTGCCACTATTTTAACAATATATCCAGAATCTAATCACAGCTCATTATTTTCAAAGTTACTATGCTGACATAAGTCTCCTGCATAACAGCAATAATGTCCTAACTATTCTGCCCAATTCTAAACTTTGTTCCCATTCAGAAGACAGTAATCAGAATAATGGTTAAGTCAAGACTTTTGTTTTTGGGAAGATATACTTTTTCCTATTCTTACCACTAAATACAACTAAAATTTCTAGACATTAAATGTAAAAGAGACTTAAGTTTCTTAACAGTAGAGAGAAGGCAAACCAGCTAAGAATCTCAAGACCCAAGAAAAAATGTGGTAATTTTCCTGGGTTTTCTTTGACTTTATATATCCCAGCCTGGATACTAGAGAAAGTGGTAACTTAGAAACACCAACAGATAGAGACAGAACAAACAAACAAACAGCCCAAGCAAAGCCTGCTTTCTCTAGCAAAAGGATCACGGAAGGAGCAAACAGTATGGAATATGCTCCCACCCAATACCATCAAAAAAACTGTAGCCCCACATCTACCCCTGCCAGCAAAGGCCAAGTAGGGAGCACCTTCACCAGGGTGATATTAGAGAAGGTGAAGTGGGATGCCAGGTATTTCATCCTCCTCATGCATCCCCCAACACATACATACCCACCCATAATAACAGTAGAGGCTACGTGGGGAACATAAACTTTTACCACTACCCAGTAGTGACAAGCCATCCCTCCCCACTACTTACCAGAGTGATATCAAAGGAGCTCAGTGGAGAATCAGGACACCCACCATCATACAGCAGTAACAAGATCATCCCTTCACATACACAACACACACACACATAGTGTCAGAGGAGACCTCTTGGGGAGTCAGAACTTTAACTCTGAATAATGAGGATCCCTTTCCCCATCTCAGGTGTCAATGGAGGCTAAATGCAGAACCTGTGCTTCCACCCCACCTGGCAAGAGTAAGACAGCAGCCCTGTTTTATGGTAGCAGAGCTATCCTAAAATAAGAGTTAACACAATTTCTCCAATCAGAAATGAAGGGATAAAATAAGGAATCTGGGAAAATCAGGAAGGAAGAATATAAAAAGAGTAAACATGTGGCTAAATACAATAAGTTTTTCTTCTCTTGAGCTTTATAAATTATGTTCATGTTTGAGGCAATAATTATAAACCATCAATTGTGATTCTCAGTGTATGTAGAAAAAAATATTTGTGACATATATATTATAACTGGAGGAGAGAAAATATGGGACATAAAGGGAGACGGTTTTTTTGTTTGTTTTGACGAAGATCTCACTCTGTCACACAGGCAGGAGTGCAGTGGTAGGATCTCAGCTCACTGCAGTCTCTGCCTTCCAGGTTCAAGTGATTTTTGTGCCTCAGCCTCCTGAGTAGCTGGGATTACAGGCATGCGCCACATGCCCAGCTAATTTTTGTATTTTTAATAGAGATAGGGTTTTGCCATGTTGGCCAGGCTAGTTTCAAACTCCTGACCTCAAGTGATTAACCCACCTTTGGTTCCCAAACTGCTGGGATTATAGGCATTAACCACTGTGCCAGGCCTGAGACAAGGGTTTTATACTTCAATTAAACTGGTAAAATGTACTCATCAGTAGATTTTGATAAGTTATGTGTACATAATTGATGTGGTTAGGTTGTGTTCCCACCCAAATCTCATCTGGAATTGTAACTTCCACAGTTCCCTTGTGTTATGACAGGAACCTGGTGGGAGGTAATTGAATCATGGGGGTGGGTCTTTCTTGTGCTGCTCTTGTGATACTGAATAAGTCTCACGAGAACTGATGGTTTTAAAATGCAAGTTTTCCTGCACGAGCTCTCTTCTCTTGTCTGCTGTCATGTGAGATGTGCTTTCACCTTCTACCATAATTGTGAGGTCTCTCCACCCATGTGGAACTGTAAGTCCAATAAACCTCTTTCTTTTGTAAATTTCCCAGTCTCGGGTATGTATTTATCAGAAGCATGAGGACAGACTAATACATAAATGTAATAGCTAAAGCAGCAGCAGCAGCAGCAACAACAACAACAAAACCTAAAAAGTGATACACTTTAAAACACTATAAATCTCTCAAAATAGACTTTCACAATATGTTTAAGTAACACACAGTAAGGAAGGAGAAGGAAACAGAGAAGTGAAAAAGAAAGAACAAACAGAAAACAATACAAATGCAGAATTAAGCTTCAGTTTTTCAATATCACATTGAACTTAAATGGTTCAAATATACTAATAAAAGACAGAGATTGGAGGAATGGATTAAAATAACTGATCCAACTGTATACTGTCTATAAGAAATTCACTTTAAATAAAATTACATATACAGTTTTAAAGTAAAAAGATTAAAAAACATATACAACACAAATATTATTAAGAGGAAAGCAAGAGTAGCTATATTAATATTAGGTAAAGCAGATGTTAGTATTTATAAAGAGATTTATCACGAACGGAAAGGAACATTATGTAATGATAAAGTAATCAATTCACCTAAATGACATAGCAATTCTAAATGTGTGTGCACTCAATAACGAAGATGAAAAATAAGTGAAGTACAAACTGAAAAGTAAGATAATTCCAAAATTATTTTTGGAGACTGAAAGAATAGAATTCAACACCACCATCAGCCAACAGGATCTAATCAATATATGTAGAATACTCCAACCAAGAACAATGGGACATGCATACTCTTTTCAAAGGCTGATGGAATATATATCAACATGCAACAAATCCTGGGATATAAAACAAACTTCAACAAATTCAAAAGAACGAAAATCATACAGGGTATATTGTCTGGCCAAAATGTGATCAATCTAGAAACTTTTAACAAAAAAATTTAAAAAAGATTCCAAGCACTTAGAAATTAATCAACGCCCTTATAAAAACCCATGGAACACAAAGAAAGTCTTGCAGGAAATGTTAAACATATTGAACAGGATAAAAATGAAAACAATATACCAAAATCTATGGGATGCAGCTCAAATCGTGCTGAATGGAAATTTTCTAGCAAAAAATAACTTCATTAGAAAAGAGAAAAAGTTCCAAATAACAATTTTACCTTCCAGCTCAAGAAACTAGAAAGAGAGCACAATAAATCTAAATCAAGGAAAAAGAAAGAAATACTGAAAATAATAGCAGAAATAAATGAAATTGACAACAGAAAAAAATGGAGAAAATCAGTGAAAGAAAGCCTGGCTCTTTGAAAAGAGCAATACAATTGACAAAACTCTAGCAAGGTAAACAGGGCCGAAAGGAGAGAGGCCATAAATACCAGTCTCAGGAACAAAATGAGGGTGTATCATTACAAAGAAATTAGACAACCAAGTGATAAGGGAATGTGAAAAACTTTATACACATAAATGGAACAACTTAGGTAAAATGAACAAATTCTTCAAAAAATATAAACTACTACAACTCACCTAATATAAAATGGGTAGTTTGAATAACCCTGTAGCTATTAAGAATATTAAATTTGTAACTGAAAATCACCCAGGCCAGGCTCAGTGGCTCATGCCTATAATCCCAACACTTTGAAAGGCTGAGGTGGGTGGATCACTTGAGCCCAGGAGTTTGAGACTAGCCGGGCAACATGGTGAAAATCCCATTTCTACCAAAAAAATACAAAAATTTAGCCAGGTGTGGTGGCATGCACCTGTAGTCCCAGCTACTCAGGAGGCTAAGGTGGGAGGATCACCTGACTCAGGAGATTGAGGCTACAGTGAGCTGTGATTGTCCCACTGCACTCCAGCCGGGGTGACAGACTAAGATCCTGTCTCAAAAGAAAAAAGAAAAAAAAAAACAAACAAAAAGTAACCAAAAAGAGATCTTTGGTCAGGTATTTTCATTAGACAATTCTATTAAATACTTAAAAATGCACTGCTCTGCTGAAAACCGTCCTTGTTGTCTCATTTCACTCAGGGTGAAAGCTAATCTCTTTCTGTGATCTATAAGGACCTACATGATCATGCCCCCAGTACCTCTCTGAAGTAACCTCCTACAACTCTCCTTGTCAGCCCCCTCATATCTAATCTGAAGTGTCTTCTTATTTCACAAACATAAACACACCAGGCCCACTCCTCCCACAGGAATGATGTAGCATGCTGGATGCTCTGTTTGATATTTGTCTTAAGTCAGCTTGGGCTGGCATAAGAAAATATCACAGACTGGGTGGCTTAAACATGAGAATTCCAATATCAAATATCAAATATCCAATATCAAAGTGCCAGCAGGGCCGGACGTGGTGGCTCAAGCCTGTAATCCGAGCACTTTGGGAGGCCGAGACAGGCGGATCATGAGGTCAGGAGATCCAGACCATCCTGGCTAACACGGTGAAACCCCGTCTCTACTAAAAATACAAAAAAATAGCTGGGCGTGGTGGCGGGCGCCTGTAATCCCAGGTACTGGGGAGGCTGAGGCAGGAGAATGGCGTGAACCCGGGAGGCGGAGCTTGCAGTGAGCCGAGATCTCCTCACTGCACTCCAGCCTGGGCGACAGAGCGAGACTCTGTCTCAAAAAAAAAAACACAAAAAAAACAAAAAAACAAAGTGCCAGCAGGCCAGCAGTTCTGGTCTCAGGTAAGATCTCTCTTCGTGGCTTGAAGAAGGCCACCTTCTTGCTGTGACTTCACATGACAGATATTTAAAGTGAATTTATATTCTTATAAATTCATTACCCCATGGGACTAGGGTCCACTCTCATGACCTCATCTAACTCTAATTTATGCCCCAAGTCCTCATCTCCAAATAAAATCATGTTGGGGGCTAGAGGTTCAACATATAAATCTTGAGAGGACACAAAAATGCAGTCTATATAATATTCAGATAATTTATTCCATTGCTTCTTTTAGGTCTCTACCAAAATGTCTGCTTCTCAGTAAGGACTTCCTAGGCCATGCCAATTATAATTTTCAACACTCACTCCATTTCCAACACTTTTTATTCCCACCTAATGTTTAACTTTTTCTCTCATACTTGGCACCTCTAACATGCCGAAGAATTTACTTAATTTTATTTTTGTCTGACCCTTTCACTCCAGGAGGTGAGATATTATATATATATATATATATGTATAGATATGTATATCTATACATATCTATACATATCTATACATATATATATACACATATATATATATGCACATACACACACACACACACACACACACACACACACACACACACACACACTCCAGGCAGTAAGATATATTTTGTGGTTTTATTTTATTTTTTCAATACTATCCTCAGAGCCTAGAAGAATCCCTGGCACAGAGGACTCAATAAATATGTGTTGAGTGAATGAACACCATTAATAATCATATTCTCAGATCATTTAATGAGTCTAATTCTCACATTTTGAGAGAATAGCATAAAGTTGTATGTAGTTGAAGTTGGATTTTGAAAGCTTTAAACAGTTTGTGAAATCTCTCCCTGTGAAATTTTAAAATGTATAAGAACCTATGTTCTTTTTTTTTATTATTATACTTTAAGTTTTAGGGTACATGTGCACAACGTGCAGGTTTGTTACATAAGTATACATGTGCCATGTTGGTGTGCTGCACCCATTAACTCGTCATTTACATTAGGTATATCTCCTAATGCTATCCCTCCCCCCTCTCCCCACCCCACAACAGGCCCCAGTGTGTGATGTTCCCTTTCCTGTCTCCATGTGTTCTCGTTAAGAACCTATGTTCTATATTTTCTACCATGACCTGCTACTTTCACTCAGGCTCTCTCTCTCCCCACTCTGTCTTCCCTTTCTCTCTCTCTCTCTCACTTTTTTCTCTTCAACTTCATCATCTTAGAGTCTTATTTTGGTCTTGTAATACATTTGATTTTTCATCTTACATTTAATTACTATTTGTACAGTTTTTCAGAATTGTCTCAAACTGTTCAGCATTTTAATAAATACTCATTAAAATTTTAAATCTTTGATTAGAAAAAGAAACTTGATATCCATTTTTAATTATTCAGAAATATAATTACGGATTTATATCTTATTTAAAAGTTCAAAGAAAGTGACTTCTTTTAAAGTTATTTAAATTATGAAATAGATAAGTTTAATTTTAAAGTGATTAATTTAAAAATATTCAGAAGTCTGTCAAATTCGTACAACATGATACCACCTACCTATCATTTTCCAGTGCTACCATTTGTAAAGGAGGAAACAACATTTTCATATCCTAACTGAAAAGATTATTCTAACTTAAGTTGACCATAGGCAAAATATACCTAGGCATTTTATAAGAAAATCTTCCACTTTAATATATAGCTAAACTTATAAAAACAATAAATAACTTTTTTAGACCTTTGTGAATGAAGCCTGAATTAGACCAATTAATATAATCTTATAAAAGTGATCTTATGATGATTTTAAGTTGAGAACAATGAGATCTATCAATTTGTTGAATACATATCTCCTGATTATTTATATTAACATTCTCTTGAAATCATGGTTGGGAATTTATAACTGGTTATATTCATAACTTTATAATTTAGATTCATGTGGTAAAATAATTGGAAAGCTTCAAATTTTAACATTATTAAACATTAGGAGCATGCCAAGCTCTGATTTCATTTCCTAGATTACCTCTACTTTGGGAATTCAGTTACAACAGTCTATCAGTAGTCATGTAGAGGCTAGTTTAGACTTCATATTGTACCAGCTATAAATAGTAATTGGCAAAAACAGGAAATAGTTCCAAAGAACATTTTTTCTTTTTAAAATAAATTTA
Organism: Homo sapiens; assembly: GCF_000001405.40. Lineage (NCBI taxonomy): Eukaryota > Metazoa > Chordata > Mammalia > Primates > Hominidae > Homo > Homo sapiens. The sequence continues at coordinate 84,801,488 of NC_000007.14, read as the reverse complement.
CTGAATAAATATATTTTACTGCCAAGAAAGGCAAACTGATTTTATTTGACTTCCTTTTATTATATTGAATACTTAGTGCAAAGACTTTGGTGTTGTAGTAATTTACAATTGCTACATATTCTAATACTATGCTTTTTATAATTTAGAATGATGTATCTGTATAATGTAAACTGCATAACACAACACATACATGCTCCATGGCATTAAATTACAAATGCAAATATAAAAAATTGACTGATTGTTTTCTGTTCTTTGATAATTTCTTATAATTCTATCTTTTGGAATCAGAATGCCAAATTTTGTTCACCATTGTTTAAGAGGAGGCTATTTTTACTCCTAGCTCTTGGGTATGGCTTATGATTTAGGCCTGAATCAAAAGGCATGAGTTCATCTTTTTGACCACAGTGATTGACTTAGGGAAGGACATATGATTTAAATAAAGCACAGTGTTTTCTTCCATAACTGGTGGAAAAAGATGTCCTTTTTATGTTGAATATAAATGGAGAGGGATGTGGCCTCACCACAAGAGTTGCCTGCAGTTATTTTGTAACCCTGGGTGGAAAGCTAGACAAAGAATAGTACCCAGCGGGAAGAATTAAGAGAGGTGGGGCTTGGGACAGCATTGGAGTCTGCTCAAATTGAACCCAAAACCACGCTAGTCTATTCAGACACACAATATATTACATCTCCTTTCTTTAATTTGGCAGCTCTTGTTTACATTGTTGTTTATTTGCCGCCAAAAGATTTATAGAGTTATACACACTAAATTTGACGGTAAATCATTGGGTTCTCGATCATGGCTGTTAGAATAGCCTAGGAGATTATTAAAGAATAATGATGTGTAAGTCCCACCTAATCCAATTAAATCAGAATTTCTAGGGTTGTATCCTGGGCATGAGTGTTTTCTAAAGCTTCTAGGGTTATGTCCTGGTTATCAGTGTTTTTCTAAAGCTTCTTGAGTGATTCCAATATGTAACAGAGTTTCAGAAACACTGACATAAATAGAAGTTACAGATCACTTAAATCCAGGGGAAAAAGATAAATTGGAAACACGACTTTACTATTTCATAAAATGAGAGTGGAAAAAAGAAATATGAGTTAGTCTTATTTTAACAGAAGGTGGGTTCAGAGACCAGGAATTCTAATTTTTACCAAGTCAAATAATAAATGTTAAGACATTATTGAGGCAATCATTTTCTAATGTATACCTTAAAAACTATGTGAAAGATGATTAAAATAAAATGTATATCTTCATTCATTTTAAAATACTCTGATACTAAATGTACTCAAATATTTTATCATTTGCAATGGCTTTCATTTTTAATTTTAGGGAATATTTTTAATGAAGGGTACCTGTATGTTTTGATAAATATATTTGTCATGTCTATGTCTTCATGATAAAGAAGAGATGTCTTTAAAATTACAGCTGAATATAAATATATGCTGAGACAATGTCTGCCAATACTATTCTGGTATGTTGCATTATTATATTAACCCAAGTCTTCTTGCCTACCTGTATTCATGCCCTTTGTTACATAACTTCCCATTCTTTTACTAAGGGGAGAGTGTACTTCTCTGCCCCTTGACTGTAGGCTTAGCCATGTGTCTTGTTTTAGCCACAAGAATAGAAATAGTCATGATGCAAGTAGGGGCTTTAAAAGCACTTGTGCAGCAGGTCATGCCTTCTTGTAGTTCTGTTATTACTTGTGGTAAACATGCTGTGATACTTCATTTTGTGTTGTTATAAAGAAATACCTGAGATTGGGTAACCTATTAAGAAAAGAGATTTATTTGACTTATGGTTCTGTAGGCTATACAAGCATGGCACCAACATTTGCTCAGCTTCTGATGAAACCCTCAGAAAGCTTTTATTCATGGTGGAAGGTGAAACGGGAACTTCATGGTCACATGTCACATGACGAGAGAGGGAACAAAAGAGTGAAGCAGGGAGCTTCCAGAGTCTTTTTTTAAACAACTAGATCACACATGAACTTAGAGTGAGAACTTACTCATTACTAAGTGGAGGATGCCAAGCCATTCATGAGAAATCCAACCCCATGACCAAAACATCTCCTATTCAGCCTCAGTTCTAACGTTAGGAATCACATTTCAACATGAGATTTGGAAGGGACAAATACTCAAACACTATCACATGCGCTGGCTAGCCCGCTGATATGAGGAAGAGGACGAGAGTCATGTGGAGCAGAGCCAACTCACAGCTAGGCAGCAAAAGAAGGGCTGCTGCATTACTGCAGCCTGAAGCAGAAATTTCCTGCTGAGGATCAGGCAGACTGCAGCCTATAGAAGTTCAGACCTGTTAGGATATAAGTGATTGATAAGTAAATGAGCTTTGCAAAGCAGTTTGTTACACAGAATTATTGGGGCAATAACTAAAATTCTGGCCAAAGGGCAAATCTTACCCGCAATCTTACATTTTATTCTGGTAATAAAATGCAACACTCTTTAGTTACACAATTACGGTAAAACAACATGGAAAGACTTTGGGGGAACAGTTGGCTTAAACAGTCCCTACAGAGTTCCTTTAGAGCAAATATTAACTTTATATTTTGGAAAAGAAACAACTGAGATGAGTGCCTCTAAATATGTCTTTGTTGGGTGGCTCCATAATAAAGGACATAAAAAGGATAGGAATGAGCAAACTAAAAATAAGTACTGATTGTATAATTTTACATAGAAAAAGTACTTACAATAATTTTGAAATGCATATATTCTACAATTTTTTACTTATTATTATTTACCAAATACTTCTGGGTATTTTATTCTTGGCCAAATTAATTGTTGACACATTTCCCAGTATAAAACCATAACCTTTCAAAAAAACAAGCAAGATACCTAATAATTTAAATTATCCCATTGTACACTTCTTAGTTTAAATAGTAATTATTACATTTGAGAATTTTAGAGCAACTATATGGGTTTGTAATGACTATTATTTTATAAGTTTTATGAAAGTCTAATTTATAATTTGTAAGAGGAGGCCAAATGTGTTTCGTGTGTTGCGATATACCATTAAGAAAGTGTTACTTTTTACGTAGTTTATTGTTTTTATCTCTGAGAGAAAAGTGATTGCATACTTTCTATAAATTGTAAAATGACAATTTAATGGAAAATGTTAAGAGGATATAAACTCTGAAAAATGTATCAGTTGAAAATGCAGTTTATCACATCTTTTTCTTCATTCAAAAATAAATTGGGGCTAACTGTAAACAAAAAGGTGAATTCATGATATTTAAAACATATGCTGTACTCCACCTATCAACTACAGAATATACGTTCCTGTCATCTGCACGCAGAACATACTCCAAGATTAACCACATGCTCACTCATAAAGCAAGTTTTAATAAACTTAAAAAAAAACCCCTTAAAACCATACCATTCATACTCTTGGGACACAGTGAAATAAAAACGGAAATCTATACCAAAAAGATCTCTCAAAATCACACAATAATATCCAAATTAAACAGCTTGCTCCTGAATGACTTTTGGATAAACAATGATTTTAAGGCAGAAATAATAAAAAAAAAAAAAGATATGTGACATAAGTGAAAACAGAGACACAGCATACCAAAATCTCTGGGATGGAGCAAAAGCAGTATTAAGAGGAAAGTTGGTAGTGCTAAATGCCTACCCCGAACTTAGAAAGATCTCAAATTAATGATCTAACATCACACCTAGTGGAAATAGAGAAAGAAGAACAAACTAATCCGTAAGCTAGCAGACGAAATTAACTAAAATCAGCGGAACTGAATGAAATTGAGACCCCAAAGAATCGGTGAAATCAAAAGTTAGTTCTTTCAAATGATAACTATGATTAATAGACCACTAGCTAGATTAGCAAATAAAAAAGGGAAAAGATCCAAATAAGCACAATCAGAAGGACACGGGTGACATTACATCCAATCCCATAGAAATATAAAACATCTTCAAAGACTATTATGAATACCTCCAGACATACAAAACTAGAAAATCTAAATGAAATGAGTAAATTTCTGGCAACACAATCTCCCAAGATTGAATAAGGAAGAATTTGAAACCCTGAGCAGACCAATATCAAGTTCTGAAATCAAATCAGTAATAAAAAACTTACCAACCCTAAAAAGCCCTGGATCAGATGGATCCACAGCTAAATTCTACCAGACATACAATGAAGGTTTGGTACCAATTCTGTTGAAACTTTTCCAAAAATTCCAAGAGGCCGGACTCTTCCCTAACTCATTTTACAAAGCCAGCATCACATTGATACCAATGCCTGGCAACGATATGACAAAAAGAAAAAAATATAGGCCAATATCCCTGATGAACATAGATGCAAAAATTCTCAACAAAATACTACCAAACTGAATCCAGCAGCATACCAATAATAATAATAATACACTATAATCAAATTGGCTTCATTCCTGGGATGCAAAGTTGGTTTGACATGCACAAATAAAAAATGATTCAACACACAAACATAATAAAAAACCAAAGCCATATGATCATCTCAACAGACACAGAAAAAGCTTTTGATAAAATGACACATCCTACTATAATAAAAACCCTCAGCAAACTAGGCATTGAAGAATCATACCTCAAAATAATGAGAGCCATCTATGACAAACCCACAGCTAACATTGTGCTGAATGGGCAAAAGCTGGAAACATTCCCCTTGAGAACTGGAAGAAGACAAGGATGCCCACTCTCACCATCCTTATTCAACATAGTACTAGAAGTGCTAGCCAGAGCAATTAGGCAAGAGAAAGAAATAAAAGGCATCCAAATAGAAAAAGAGGAGGTCAAACTATCTCTGCTGACTGATATGTTTCTATAACTAGAGAACTCTAAGACTCCACAAAAAGACTCCTGGAACTGATCAATGACTTCAGTAAAGCTTCAAGATACAAAATCAATGTACAAAAATCAGTGGCGTTTCTATACACCAATAATGTTCAAGGTGAGAGCCAAATCAGGAATGCAATCCCATTTACAATAGCCACAAAAAATATAAAATACCCAGGAATACATCTAACCAAGGAGGTGAAAAATCTCTAATAGGAGAACTAGAAAAAACTGCTAAAAGATATCATAGATGACTTAAACAAATGGAAAACATTACAAGCTCACGATTGGAAGAATTAATATTATTAAAATGGCAATACTGCCTAAAACAATTTATAGGTTCTATCAAACTACCAATGACATTCTTCACAGAACTAGAAAAAAAACTATTCTAAAATTCACATGGAACCAAAAAAGAATCCAATAGCCAAGGAAATCCTAAGCAAAAAGAACAAAGCTGAAGGTATCACATGACCCTACTTCAAACTATACCATAAACCTGTTGTAACCAAAATCACATGGTACTGGTGGAAAAACAGACACATGACAAAAGGAACAGATTAGAGAACCCAAAAATAAAGCCACACACCTACAGCCATCTGATCTTTGACAATTGACAAAACAAGCAATGGGGAAACTACTCCCTTTTCAATAAATGGTGCTGGATTAGCTGGCTAGCCATTGCAGAGGAATGAAATTAGACCCCCATCTTTCACCATATACAAAAATTAACTCAATATAGGTCAAAAATTTCAAATGTAAGACCTCAAACTCTAAGAATCCTGGAAGAAAGTTAGAAAACACCATTCTGGATATTGGCTTCAGGAAAGAATTTATGACTAAGTCCTCAAAAGCAATTGCAACAAAAATGAAAATGGACAAGTGGGACCTAATTAAACTAAAGAGTTTCTGCACAGCAGAAGAAACTACCAGCAGAGTTAAAAGATAACCTACAGAATGTGAGAAAATATTTGCAAATTTTACATCTGAAAAATGGTCTAATATCCAGAATCTATATGCAATTTAAACAATTGTAGAAGCAAAAACCAAATAACCTCATTAGAAAATGGGCAAAAGACATGAACAGACTTTTATCAAAAGAAGACATACAAGCAACCAACTAACCTGAAAAAAATGCTAGATATCACTAAAAATCAGATAAATGCAAATCAAACCACAGTGAAATATCACCTCATACCAGTCAGAATGGCTATTACTAAAAAATCAAAACACATCAGATGTTGGTGAGGCTATGGAAAAAAGGGAACACTTACGGTCTGTTGATTGGAGTGTAAATTAGTTCAGCCACTGTGGAAATAGTTTGGCGATTTCTCAAAAAGTTAAAACGGAACTACCATTCAGCCTAGCAAAGCAATCACTGGGTATATTATCGAAAAGAAAACAAATTGTTCTACCAAGGAGACCCATACACTCATATGTTCATCACAGCACTATTCACAATAGCAAATATGGAATCAACCTAGATGTCCCTCAGTGGTGTATTGGATGAAGAAAATGTAGTATATATACACCATGAAATACTACACAGCCATAAAAAGAACAAAATCATGTCCTTTTCAGCAACATGGATGCAGCTGCAGGCCATTATCATAAGTGAATTAACTCAGGAACCAAATACTATATACTCTCACTTAAGTGGGAGCTAAACCCACATTTCTGGTTTCTCAGTAACATAAAATTGCAACAATAGACACTGGGGACTACTAGAGTGAGGAGGGAGGGAGAAGGGCAAGGGTTAAGAAACTTACTACTGGGTACTATGCTCAGTACCTGGGTGATGGGATCAATCGTATCCTCAGCATCACACAATATACACATGTAACAAACTTGCACGTGCACCCCCTGAATCTGTAAAGTTGAAAAAAATAAAACATATTCTGTTTCCATTTTCATGTAATAGTTCTTCAATTTGAAAAAAAACAGACACTTTGATAGGAGTTGATTCAGAAATAAAGTGACAGTATTTCAATACCAGATGTGTGTTGTCAGTTTTATATACATTTTATCAAAAGAAAATAAATTTTTTGATATACAAAAGAAGAACTACATGTCATAGTTATTTCTAATGGTACACATAAAGGAATAACTTTAATAGAGCCTTATAAGTTAGAAAGGCCTAAACATAGTATATAAAAAGCTTAAATTCTTAATGTAAAATACATGAACACTTCTTAATATTTTGCTCCTATGGAACACAAGAACATTTCTGTTTCTAATTGATGTATACTCCTGTGTTGTTGGAAAGATTCTGCACAACACTTTCTGGTAGTTGAAAAAAATGTGTGATGGCATACATATAACCAGTTACTGGCTGCTCAGCATATTAAAAATAATTTTGAAGATAAAACAAATATCAACCTTGTTATCTTGTACAATTCTTGAAAAATGCCTTATGATCAATTATCAAATAAATTTATCACTGTTATCCCCATATTCTGCAGATACTAATAGTAAATAAAGTAGAATATTTCTGGAAGCCTGCCATTTTAGTTAAGTTTGAGATGTTAATATTGAACCAAATTCATTCTGTTTTAAATAAAGCAAAACCTGAGAGTTTAGTATTTGAGAATATTAGTTTAAGAAATGATTATCCTTACAACATTCCTTTCATTGATGGTCATGTGCTATGTGAAATAATACATAACATCAAAACCTTATTATTATTTTTGTTTTTTAATTTTTCTTTTGTTTTTGAGACAGGGTCTTGCTCTGTTGCTACAGGCTGGAATGCAGTGATAACAAACACAGCTCACTGCAGCCTCAACCTCTTGAGCTCAAGAGATCCTCCTGCTTCAGCTTCCCGAGTAGCTGGGTCACAGGTGTGTGCCACCACCACAACTAGCTTTTTTTTTTTTTTTTTTTTGTAGAGACAAGGTCTCAGCACTTTTCCTAGGCTGGTCTCAAACTCCTGGGCTCAGGTGATCCTCCTGCCTCAGCCTCTCAAAGTGTTGGGATTACAGGTATGAGCCATTGCACCTAGCCTAAATCCTTGTTTTCTATTTTTTCTGTGTAAGTAAAAATATCAGAAGTCCATTTTAATAACATACATTATTTTTTCAATATGATAGATAGATAAGGAACTTTCATCTCAGACTTATTTCCCCCCCTACTGTCACCTGAATAGGTTTTAGCCACCTCCTCAACCTAAATGGAGCATAAGCAATGAATACATGCTTACATCACAAAATATAAGTAATGGACTTTTCTTTATCAGATATCTGAGTTGTCATCATGAGGGCTTTTGCTTTGTGGGCCATGATAACTTTTTATATGCAATTAATTTGTATGTCACTTACTATAAACAGGAGAAACAGTTTTCTCACCCTTCCATGAAGTAATTTATATAATATTGATTAAATATATTTTAGTTTTGAAATACGTTTTGCAAACATCCTCTGAATTATGCTACATTTCATCATTGAATAAATTTTTTAGATACTTTCAGGTAAATATCCTACTTCAAAATAAATTTTATTACAGCAGATTAAAAGCAGAAATAAGTACTTCAAATGTCTTTATTGTGGTTCTCTTAGTAAAGTTTAATGACAGCTTTTTAATATTTTATGTCTGCTCTTTTCTAATACGAGTTATATTTACTGGATTTCTGCCACTTTGTTATTAGAAGTAAAAAATATTAGAACAAGTAAAAAACTCTATATCTCTTTACAGTTTAACATTTTTTTTTAAATTTCTTTTTAAAAAATTATACTTTAAGTTCTGGGGTACATGTGCAGAACGTGCAGGTTTGTTACATAGGTATACACATACCATGGTGGTTTGTTGCACCCATCAACCCGTCACCTACATTAGGTATTTCTCCTAATGCTATCCCTTTCCTAGCCCCTCACCCCCAGTGTGTGGTATTCCCCTCCTTGCATCCATGTGTTCTCATTTTTCAACTCCCACTTATGAGTAAGAACATGCGGTATCCGGTTTTCTGTTCTTGTGGTAGTATTTCCTACTAGTCAAATATATTAATAATTCTCTGACACTTCTAAACCACAATCCATCTTCAGTTTCTCCTTTAATCATGTCTAAGAAACAGCTACTAATTTTTAAAAATTATTCTCTAACATTATCTTTTATCGAAAAGTTTTACTACACTATAGGTAAAATTTACCACTACATTTCTTAGGCCTTCAATGTCTTTCTTGCGTATTTCTATTTATAGCAATCCTTTCAACTGTTTTCCCTTCTTTCGTAATGCTCTAACTCACCCACAATGGCTGCCCCTGGAGTCTCAGTGGAACATTTAGTGAGTCTCAAACACTAAACCGTGGTCACTGATCACATTTTAACTAGCAATAAGATGAATTTCTCTAATTACACAACATGAAAACTGAGCTAAATTGCTTAGCACATTTTTCAAAGGCAGGAAATAGCAATCTTCATATATGTATTTTGGTATACATTTTACATTGATATATATATACTTAATAATATAATTCACTGTAATATAAACATGTATATTATTTATGTGTGTATAATATAAACTGTCTTTCATAAGTTGTAGGTGTATACCTCTGGCTTTCTTTTTTCAATTGAGACATAGTCATTTTCATACTTCTTCACAGCATTCTGTAATATACCAAGATGATGTGATTTAGTTTCTATAAATTTTTTTCTCTGATGGATTTCTACTGTGCTTTCTCAGCAGCTTCCTTCTCCTTCATTTCTCAAATAATTCTGCAAAATCAGTATGCAGGCAATAAAATCAATTGGTCTTGAAATGGTTCTTCTAGTACAGTTTTTAGGTTTTTCCTTTTTTTTTCCTCTCCCTGGGATAGAAGACTGATAATGACTATGAAAGCTTCCAGGCAAAAGTAAAGATAGTCTTTTAGGAAAGTATCCTATTTAAAACCCTGTGATTCTTAAAATATATGAATTGCTACTTAAATATATGTGCGTGTGTGTGTGTGTATATATATGTGTGTATATATATATGCATACATATATATGTATATATATATACATACATATATATGTATATATATATATACACTCATACATATGTATATATATACACACACACACACACACACACACACAGTCATGTAATTGCTTTTTCAGAAGTCTTCCAAGGAATAAAAATAACAAAAGTTTTTTAAAGTTTTGCAAAGCAATTTTTAACTGGTTCAGCCAGAACATCATTAGTGAAATACTATCAATGCCTAAATTACATTTATGTTGTATTTATACAGTGTAACTTAATATATTCCAAATAATAAAGCTTATATTCTGAAGATGTATATTTTGAGGATATAAGAAATATTTTTGCATGAAAATAGAAGTCATTGTGAATGTTTTAAAAAAATAAAACTATGTATATATTTGTGCACACGGATTCATGAACAAATAATTGCACCCTATGTTACTGACAATTGTCCTTATTCAAATATAGGTAAAATTTGCATTCATTTTTCCCTTCTGTGGGTAACACTTCATTACAAGAAATCTGTGCCTTTTTATTCCTTGCTTCATAATTCAGATTCTTGGCACATAATACTGAATTTTATGACTAAAACTGAAGTAAATCATGCACAGCTGTCTCTATTTTAGGCATTTTTTTTTAAGTTTGTTCTGGTAGTGTCGCTATTGTGCAACTCGGTGTTACTGAATCATTGTGTGTCCACAATTTTGTATGAATTATGTTGATTTCTAACCATTTTTCAATTATTGGGCACTTTCATGAATGTTCTCTAAATGTCATTGAAAATTTTCTGACAATATTCAAATGTTGGTTCAAAAACCACACTGATATTAATGGTAAAAGACTCTAAAAGTATTTTTGGTTAGGGGCTGACAAAATACAGCCCAGAAGCCAAATCCAGTTCACAGCCCATTTTGGTATAGTTTTCAAGCCAAGAAAAGTTTTGTTGTTTATAAATGTTTGTTTAAAAGAAGAAGAAAAAGAATGATACAGAGACTGCCCGTAATTACTATCTCCCCTTTTATGGTGAGTTTACCAACTCTTGGTTTTAGGTTATCCCACCATAATTATTCACTGCTTTTATAATACCTTGTTCATAGTAGTAATTCAATAAAATATATTGGATACTCATATTATTCACTTCAGTGACTTGTTAATTTTTATTTTATTTATAAAATTGTAACAAAAACTAACATTACTGTAAAAGGATAATAAATAATTATTAGAGAAATCATTCCTTTATTTATATAAATTGCCTGATGAAAAATAAAAGACAATAACATTTATATTATCCGAAGCAGGGGAAAATTATTTTTAAGAGATGATACTCGAACATTTTAAAAATACATGATCAAATATGAGTTAATTGTATAAAACATGTACGAAAAAGATATGCGAGGAAATTACTTCCGCAACGTCCACCTCCCAGGTTCAAACGATTCTGCTGCCTCATCCTCCCTAGTATCTGGGACCACAGGCATGCACCACCATGCCCGGCTAATTTTTGTATTTTTATTGGAGACATGGTTTCGCCATGTTGGCCAGGCTAGCCTTGAACTCCTGACCTCAGGTGATCCACCAACCTTGGCCTCTGAAAGTGCTGGAATTACAGGTGTGAGCCACTGCACCTGGCTGATATATATGTTTTTCAATGAGATCAGTCATGTAAAAATCATGGTATATTACCATGTTTTGGTATGTAAGACAACTTCACTTAGCTACAAAAATAAATGCTAAACATATAATTGAAAAAATGTAGTCTATTTAAAGCTGTATGTTTAAATTTAGTGATTTCTAGCCCAAAGAATAGAGGCATAAAATGCAAATGATTAATTCATTAAAAAGATTTCATTAATAAGCATCAGGAGTAGACTGGGAACTGAATTTTACAGAATTTCTTACATTCTACTCAAAAAACGTCCCCCTCTATCTCTCTACAACTGATTTTCCTTTGTCAGCTGACTCTAGTGTTTCTTAACCAAAATCCTACCCACTTTAATTGCCATATTTATTTAATTCTATTAAAGGCAGCAACATGAGTTTATAATTGTTAACAAAAGTACACATGCAGCAAACAGAAATATTTTAGTCATAGATTTCAGATAAAACTATTTTTTTTATTTTTTGTAACCAAAGTAAATGACATACCAATTTAAAAGAGAAAAGAAATATAATGAAACAGCTTATATTTGAGCCCTTCCTTATTTGTTAAATACCTCCTGGCATTATTTCATTTAATTCACACAATGATTCTAGGCAGCAGGTACTGTCATTAGCTTCTTTCTACAGATCAAAAGTTGGAAGACTTTACTCAAGGTCATAAAACTAACAAGCATGAACCCAAAATTCAAGTCCCTAATCTAGAGCACTGGGTTAAGTATGCTTAATGATTTATGTACAGCTTTCCGTCTATCCATTGTATTACACGGGTATGTGGAACATTATACATAAGTCTGGGGTATATTTGAAGAGCTAAGACAAATGCAAAAGTTAGGAAAAAGAGAAAAAGGAAAAGAGAGAGATTACTGAGAGGAACTATAATTATATCATAAATATCTTTAGTATTTAAGCATACATATAAAGCTAAATCATATAAGTATTGATTTAAAGTTATAAACAGCTATAAAGTTTTATGCATTTGATAAGAAAACAAAATGCAGTGACTTACTTAAGATTGAGAATACACACTACTTCTAATCTCAACGTCCTTGAGATCTGTAATATGCAGGCTGTTGCTTGCCACCACTGGGCATGAGCAGAGTTACTGGATTCTTCTCATGGGTTATTCTCAAATTTGACTGCATTGGAATCACCTGGGATGCTTTAGAGTTACTAAGGTCTGAATCCTACACCAAGAGATTCTAATTGAATTGGTCTGGGATAGGGCCTGAGCAATAGGAGTTTTAAAACCTCCTCAGGTGATTCTAATGTTTTCTGAGTCTTAGGAACAATTTATTTTAACTACTTGCTGATTAGCCTACCCCTTCCCTGCTCACATCCTCGCAAAGCAGTTGATGCTGAGATTTGGTCTGCTACAGATGAGGGTAAGAGACTTTATGTCTTTCAGATTCTCAAGTGTGTTTCTCAGAGTGTGATCCCTGAACCAGTATTTGCATCACCTGGGAACAAGTGAGGCATATAAATTCTCAGACCCAATCTAGACCATTGGATAAGAAACTGGGAGTGGGATCCAGCAATCTAGCTTAACAAGTCCTTCAAGTGATTCTGACTCCCACTAAAGTCTGGGAGCTACTGTAAGCCCAAAAAACCCAGTTAGGTATTTATACCTTTTTCCTGTTTTTCAGTAGAGGATTTGAAACGAACAAAAAGTACGCTCATGTTGTTTTATAATTTATATTTTGAAGGAACATATAATTTACATTTTACATTACATTCCAGTTCCTTCAGATTCAACTTCATGGTAAGGTTTTAATCTATTTATTTATTTCACCAGTCATGTTACAAAAAAAAAAAAGTGTGTGTATGTATAATGTTATATCAGACTTATCAAATGTGTTTATATAATAAATTATGATTTCTTTCAGGTATATTTTAGCATCACTGGTATAAATAGTTGAGGTATTTTGCTTTTATTTTGTGGTTTGAATTTATAAGAGAGAAGTAGGCATTTAGCATAATCTGAGTACCTAAAAATCTACAAGGAGATTGAAAGTTTTAAATCCATCTGCAATAATGCCTATAAACAAAGTAAAGGTGCCTGTAATGTATTTACACAAATATATGGATAATGTGTTAAATAAATACATTATATATTATATTGATTTATGTAAAATATTATTTTATTGTCATTTAACAGCATGTGATAAACTTTATGTAGATTTTATATAGATACATAATCTGTCATTTGGTTGAAATATTAGAGGCAGGATATTTTAAGATTGTAGGTCTAGAGTTCTTCAGACCCTAGTTCATCTCCAGGATTGCTCATACTAATTAAATGTGATTTTTGAGAAATTATTTAGAAATTTGAGTTTTCAGTAATATTTTGTTTCCTTTATATTCCAGTTTCTTCCTGTGTGAAACAGAGACAATAGTATCTATTTCATAGTGCCACAGTGAAGTTAATATTTGAGATAATATATGTAAGTCTCTTAAACCTGGTAGCCATGAGACAGCACTGAATAGATATTAGCTATTTTTATTTATATTGTTATATGCAAATATTTCTTTATATAACATAATCTTTTTTAAGAATGTATGCTTTTAGAGGTTCCATGAAAATAATTTATTTTGCTGTTTTAATAAATAATATTGTCAACCTTTATATTAAAAGTTTTGTGGAGAAGGTCTCCAGGCCTAAAGAACCACCTTGAAGGTTATAATAAAGTGATTTACATAGTGGTCTATTGTTCACTGTAAATGCAGTGGAACCTTGATAAAATATGACCTGCTATAGCATGAAATTTAGCATAATCCCAGTGATTGGTGCTGGTTACTGAAAGAACCAGAAGGTTCTTGTTATATTATTTTATCTTTATCTCAGTTGCCTGGCAAAGACCCAACAAATCATGTTTTAATGAAGTCCATCTTTGGAAAAAAAATGAAACAAAATACTATTCTTCACTTTTGCAGAGCTCTTACAGTATTTATGATAAATAAATGGAGGATAGGCATTAATAGGGAGGCATCACTTGTCTGGGAGGTAAAAAGAAAAAAAATGCAAATTATTGTAAATACAAAAGTTTTGAAGTTTTGTCCTTAAAGTATTGAGAATGTAGAATGCCAAATAATCGAATTATTGAAATTGGTTGAATTTAAAGCAGCTTATTGTTTTTTATGGCCATGTTTTGTCTATAAAATGATATAGGTGTTATCTTGAGTATCATTCATAATTTAAATAATATTCAAAGGTTCTAATATTCTAATGTAGATCTCTAATTTGTTCTGAATACCTCACATTATTTTTTTAAATTATCTTTTGAATATTTGTCTTGGATACATTGCACAGTTAAAGAATAGAAACTGTGATTTGACATCGTGTTTTATGTGCTTTGTACTTCAGTTGCTAGCATGGTGCTCGTCATAAGGCAGACCCTCAGTAAATGTTTTCTGAATGATGGAAAGTTTCTAATTTTTCATGCATTGATGAGCCATACTATGTGTGTAATTTTATACTACTCATGTTGCTTTTGTTTGAGGAAAGAGTCGTGCCTAGTCTTGTTGTTTTCTTCCATCTGGAGGAATATCCATTAGGATAACCCTCCTGATCTCTCTCTACCCCTATTCATGCCTTCCCAGGAGCCAAGAAATGATGCAAGTGACAGGTGACTCTGGAACTAGAAACTGGGATTGCTTTGTTTGTTAATCCTTTTTGTCCTCATGTCATGTCATATTGGGATCCACCTCTCAGTGTAGAGCAGGAGCCTGGGTCTGTTCCTGACCATGTGGTAGGCTTGGAGGTATAAAACCTACAGGGGGAGACCTGTGGCTCTGCAGCTCTACCTGTAACTGTACAGATGAGTCTGCCTGATTCTTGGGTGAAGATGAGGACGTCAACACTTAAGGATTAGGATATAATCCACATAAGCCACAGTCTATATTTGCTCCATCCGTGGTGAAGCTGATATTTTTATTTCCCTCTTTTTTTTTCCTATCTCTGCCCATCTTGATTGTTTCAGAACTCAGACAGGAAAAAGTGGGGTGTGTATATTGATTCTCTTGAACTTCAACAGATTTATACATATATAACTTTTATGTTGGAAATGCCACTGACATAAAGGCTTGGATAGGCAAGGAGAGCATGCTGGTAACAAATATTCACTTAGCTGGAGCTCAAATCAGCATACCTGGGAAAACATGCTACTAGACAGACGAGTGTTTTTCATTTGAGAGCTCTTAAAACAAGAGTTCAGAAATGTCATAGTGCCAACAAATATTAGAGATGTGGTATTCATATTGTGACTGAGAATCCTAGAGAACTCCTAATTTTCCATGAGTATTCACCAGATTACTTTTAGCAACTGGCAAGTGGACAGAAAATATTCATATCCTTAGTTTTATGAGCAGAGATATAGTTTTATTTCTGAAGTACTGTCATCTCTTGTAATAGAAGACTATATTTTTTTCTGTTTTCTCCAAACCAGCACATATTTCTCAGTCACAGATTTTCCTAAATATACTTAGGTACTGGCATATTTTTTTTCTTCCATATGCAGTTGCCGTTTATGTACTGCCATCACCGATTAGAAGTTGAAAAAAATTAAAATGTCCCACATAGAATATTTTCACTTATGTCCCATTTTTGTCAAAAGTTTAACTTTTTACTTCACATAAAGTTATTATTTTTATAGCACTCTATATTTCCATGACTAGCAACATTGTCTTCACATATTCTAAAACCTGAAATAGGGAAACGTACATAGTATCACATTTTCCTAGTTGATACCCTGTCCAATTCGTGGATTTATTGTTTAAAGCAAATGGAATCAAATGTAAAAATCTATAATATTTGGGATGGGATTTATCATCATGAAATGAAAGAGGCTGTATATACATACATACACACATATATGCTTAAGATTATCTCTTATTTGATCCCCTAAATTACAACTCAAATCTATTAGCCTTTATCCTATTATTTCTCTTCCTTCATCCTATATTTCTCCCGTTTTGTTCTTCTACTAGCTCTCCTTTCGAATCACTCCCCTTTGCTACTGGATGGACAAAATCTCCTACAGCACAGTTGCCTCTCAAAGTTAAAACATTTCTTGAATAAATTAATTAATACATGTAGTAGTTAAAGCAAGAGGAGTTAAATTGAAAGCATGACTCTACCAGTTTAGAGCTGAATAACTGAAAGTGTAGTTTTAATATCCCTAAACATCAGTTTCCTCCTCTGTGCTTTGGGGATAATATGATCTCTTTTTCAGCATTGTTATGAGTATAAGGGATAAAGTTAATTAAGTGCTTTATATATATATGTACTCAGTAAAATGTAGCTAGTATTATTAATAAAACATTGTACATTATTAATTAAACATAATACTTAAGACATTCACCAATGGTTAATCATTATTATTAATAATTTACAATTGTTATTGATAATTAATGAAGTATCAATGATAAGAACACTTAGAAATACCAGATAACACCCTATGAGTCATATGATATCATACGGAGTTTGGACTTGCAGGAGATGAAGATACTAATGTCACATTAGTATCTTTTTCCGGACTTTTCCAGACTCTCCTTATGTTAACCTTCCTACGTTTTTGTGAGAACCTTTACCCCGAAAACGGGTCCGCTTGGGAAGTGGGCCTGATACATTTAGCCTCCCCACCTCACGACAGGTATTTCTGACATAAAGTCACATTCTGACCCCAATGACCAGTTTATATAGGGCATGGTATTATTTTACCATGTGTGGCTTTCCATCATTTCCTGCAAGCAAGGTCTAAGAAAGCCTCAGAGCGACTATGCATTTGTTCCAGTGGCAAAGGAAAAAGTAAAGGGTTATGTATACCACATTTTAGGTCCATTTGGAACCCAGGAGGTTTTTGTGGTCTTGCTCTGAAACCTAGCCTAAAAAACATCATGAATAATATGGCTTCTGTGGAGAAATTTCTTTTGAATTCTGAACAAAGAAATTTTAGAAACACTCCCCTTTACCATTGCAGATGACCCATGTAAAAGGTTTCAAATGTCTCAGCATACAAATGACATATACTTTGGCGCTTTCTGTTCATCCTCAGTTCCTGAAACATAATAATTATTTCTAAGGGGCAGACTTTGATTTGCAGATTAATTGGGCACACTGCTTTTTTTTTCTTTGTATTTTTCCCACACATCTTTTCCCTTAAAGTGCACTACAACATCATTATCACAGTGCTCCTATCAATGTTTAAAAGCCCACTTTTGAAAGCCGTAATACCTTTGTTCAACGCTGATTTGTATTCGGCTTTGTAGAAAAATTAACTTAAGAGAAACTTTACTGAAACATGAATACTAACCCAGAACGGGCTTTGTATTTGAGTGAATGTAACTTTGCACCACTTCTGAGAAGTTTAGATTGCTCAATTCCCTAGCCACTCCTTCAGGCCCTGGGTGACACTCTGAAATGGATTAAGTCCATTGCCACCTCCTTTCTCTTTTCTTTGTAATGGGTAATATTACTGTGTCTTTTGTAAAACACTCTGAGTTTCTGAGATGAATGACAATAACAGCAAAGAAGAAAGGTATTGCTTTGGGATTAAAATGAAACTAGACAAATTTTTACTGGCTTTATCTCTGGCAAGATTGCAATAGAATGTTTATTCTCAAGTGTCATGGAATTTAACCTGATACAATAATCTCAGAATCTAAATAGGGATCAAGGACTGTCTTTATTTCGAAACTGCTGAAGTTTTCTTCTCAGTACATTCATGGTTATGATAAGAAGTTACAGCCACTGAGAACTGTTTGAAGTTTATGGAGTGTGACCTATTTATGAAGTTGTATATAAACAAGCTATTAATATATATCCTCATAGCAAAACACAAGGTAATTAACTTAAGCTACATTTTGAACACTAAGTACTTATAAGATAATCAGTCTCTTCATGAATGCAGCATTTAATTGTAAAATAAAGTTAATAAAATTAGCTATATAATATTTATATTAGTTTAATAATTTTATTTTTAATGTTAAAATCTTTCAAATACATACTGAATAGAGAATAATGATAGACCATCTTGTATCAAGCAACCAGCTTGAACAAAAGTTAATTTTTTCCATATTTGCCTCAGACATTTTTCTCAAAATTTTTTATTTTGAAAAATATAAAGCTAAAAAGCAGTTGGAAGATAATATATGACTATCCTTTATAGCTTTTCCTGAATTCACCCATTTTAACATTTACATTTTGTCATATTTGCTTTATCTCACTATATACACACATACACACATGTACACAGGTGCTTCTATTTAGGTGTGTATATATTTCAAGTTAATTTTTGCAATGGTGTCAGTCAGAAAGGGACAATGTTAATTATCCCCCAGGTATAGTGGGTTGTGTTAGTATCGTTTAAAAAAAAAAAAAAGTATTTTTCCAGTTGAATTACTTTGGTACCCATATCAAAAACACACTGACCACATATCAGTTTATTTCTGGACTTTCTATTTGGATTCCTTTATTAATAGATCTAATCTTATGCCAGTGAAACACTGTTTTGATGATTGTAGTTTTATCATAGGAAATCAGAGACCATTCTCATATATTTTTCAAAGGTGTTTTGGCAATTCTTAATCCTTTATTTTTCCATATACATTTCAGATTTATATTGTCAATTTAGGTAAGCACACACTGAGATTATGTTTGGGATCTTGTAGAATCTGTAATCAATTTGGGGAAAAACAGTATCTTAAGCATTTAGTGTTCCATTCCGTTAAAAATTATATATCATATCAATTATTTCGGCTGATTTTCCTGTAATGTTTTGTAATTTTCATAGTGTAGGTCTTACACATATTTTGTTATATTTATCTTTATTATTTTCAAAATTTACTATCATAAAATTATTTTTAAAGTTATATTTTCAAATTGTTTATTCTAATAGTTTAGTAATTCTAATTTAGTAATACAATTTATTTTTGCATATTGATCTTGTATCCTGCAATTATGCTAAATTGACATTATTTTTACTAGCTTTTTGTTGAACACTGAACTTAAAAAAATTATGAAAAAAATTACGTCATCTGTAAATAGCCACTTTTGCTTTTTTCCCCCTAAATCTTTGTTCTTTTATATATCTTTTTTCTCTCAACTCTTTTACCTGTTAGGAATGTAGAACAATGTTGGGCATGTGCTGATAGTGAAATTCTAACCTTGCTTCAGATCTTACACAAAAAGCGTTTATAAATGAGTGTGGAATTTTCCCACATTTTTTTTTAATCCACTGGGTTAATTATATATTCATTTTCGTTATTTTGTTAATACGTTGAATTACATTGACTGATTTTCAAATGTTAAGCCAATGTAGAATTTCTGGAATAAACCCATTTGGTCATGATATTTATCTTTTTTATAGATCGATGGCTTCAATTTGTAAATATTTTATTACAGAGTTTTGCATCTCTTTCATGATATATTATTCTATAGTTTTCTCTTCGTTAACCTTATTTTGTTTTCCATAATGTAATGAGTCACAAAAGAAATTTATTTGTTTTATTCTTTCATTTTTTTTGTTAGCACAAGAAAACTCATAGCCTTAAATTCATAGAGTTGTTTAATTTTATTCCATAATTTTTCTTATGCAATGTTTTGATTTTTCATTAATTTTTAGAAATTCTGCAATTTTATTATATATTTTCCCTTTTACACAAAAGGTGTAAAATAAAGTTTATAAATTTTCAATTGGAAGATCGCAGGATAGATGCAGCCAGGAGGAACATCTTCCACAGAGAGAAAGGGAGATTGGGAGACTGGCACACTCCTAGCAGATCTTTCAAGGGAAGGCACTGAGAGTTGATGGAGGGAGGACATAAATGTTGAGCTGAATGGGGAGGAATCTGGGAACACTGCAGGGGTTACTGAGCATTGGGACTCATTCCTGGGCCTCAGTGACTCCTAGGGAAGGGGTGAATTGGACAGGCAAGGAATGGCTCACTTTTGCCATGGACCTCCAGAATCCTGGCAACAGGAGGCCTCACAATATCATGGACACTTGAGTTGTCAGGGAGAACTGCTTAGAGAGGTGATGGGGCAGGACTTCAGCCTGTGCAGAGCTCAGAGGGCTTAGTGTGGAATCATCTGCCATGGAGCACGGCCAGAAATGTCTATCCGTCCCTCAAAGATAAGAATGCTCTTCTAGGAGACTAGCCTTAGTGACTGTCAGACCTGGATGGAGGAGAGAGGTCTTGCCCATGAGGCAGGGCCAGTCTGATCTGAGTGGCCCTCCTCTCTCCTGGCCTCTCCCAGGACCCCAGCCTGGCTACAGCTTCTTGCAGCGCAGCCTCGGGGGCCCAACCGGCGTGTTTCTGAAGGACCCTCATTATAGCTCCTTTACTGGCAGACCATGCCTGACCATTGGAGAGCTCCTGCAGATTGGCCTCTGCCGTCATGCACCAGCCCACCAGCACTCTTCCCCTACTGCAGCCTCCCCTACATTGCTTTGCTGGTATGCACTTGCCCACAGCCACCTCCCCTGCCCACTGCTTTGCCAGCATTCCCATGGGCAGACTTCACCTCCCCTCCTCTTCCAGCACAGGTACTCTACTGTGTGTGTCACTGCTGCCAGCCAAGCACACCCTGCTGCTCCTCGCCTGCTGATGTGAGGGCACCTGGCCATGTCACAGTCACTGGTGTGAACTTGTGCATGAACACCAGCAACCCTGCCCCCTAGCACCGCCACTGCTGCCAGTGCAAATGTGTAGGGGGGCTGGCAGCCCCATGCATACCAGCACCCCATGCCTGCCACCAGCACCACTGGGACTAATGCAAGCACAGGTGCCAGCAACCCTGTCCCTACCAGAGCCCCACCACCACCATGCTGCTGCCACAAGCACATCCAAGAATGCCACAGCCCCATTGACATTGTTACCGTGCTTCAGTTGACGCATGTGTACCTCACCACACTGCTGTGACTAATGGCGGCAAGCAAGCACAGATTCTGTTGCCACTGCCTGAATGAAGTGATATTTTCCATTGGACTAATCTTTTTATCATTATATAATGTCCCTGTTTGTCATTTTCAACTGCTGCTGCTTTAAAGTTTGTTTTATCTGATATAAGAGTAGTTACTCCTGCTCACTTTTGATGTCCATTTGCTTAGAATATCTTTTTCCACCCCTTTACCTTACATTTACGTGAGTCCTTATGTGTTACATGAATCTCCTGAAGACAGCAGAAACTTGGTTGGTGAATTCTTATCCATTCTGCCATTCTGTATCTTTTAAATGGTGCATTTAGTCCATTTACATTCAACATTAGTATTGAGATGTGAGGTACTATTCTATTCATTGTGCTATTTGTTGCTGAATACCTTTCTTTTTCATTGTGTTATTTTTATGTAGGACCTATGAAATTTGTACTTAAAGATGTTCTATTTTGGTGTATTTCAAGGATTTGTTTCAAGATTTAGAGCCCCTCATTCTGATGCTAAAACCTGGCAAAGACACAACAACAACAACAACAACAAAAAACTTCAGGCCAATATCTTTGATGAACATAGATGCAGCAATCCTCAACAAAATACTAGCAAATCAAATCCAGTAGCACATCAAACACTAATTTGTTGATTTGCATTTCTCTAATAATTAATTAAAGTTGAGCATTTATTTATGTGCTTGTTGGATGAGTGTATGTTTCTTTTGAATAGTTTGTTCATGTCCTTTGCCCACTTTTCAGTGGGGTTGTTTTTTGCTTGTTATTTTTTTTTTTAAGTTCTATATAGATTCTGGATAGTAGACCTTTTCTGGTTGCAAAGTTTGCAAAACTTTTCTCCCATTCTAAAGGTTGTCTGTTATTCTTTTGATAGTTTCTTTTGCAGTACAAAAGCTCTTTAGTTTAATTAGGTCCCATTTGTCAATTTTTGCTTTTGTTGCAATTGCTTTTGGTTTCTTTATCATAAAATCATTGCTAAGGCCTATTTCCAGAATGGTATTTCCTAGTTTATCTTTTGGGGTTTATAAAAACCCTATAAAGCTTTAGGTCTTACATTTAAGTCTGCAATCAATCTTGGGGTGAATTTTGTATATGGTGTAAGGAAGGGGTTCAATTTCAACCTTCTGCATATGGCTTGCCAGTTATCCTAGCACCATTTATTGAATAGGAAGTTCTTTTCCTGTTGCTTGCTTTTTTGACTTTGTTGTAGGTCTGTGGCATTATTTCTGGGCTCTCTATTTAGTTCCATTGGTCTATTAGACAAATAGATTTTTGTCTTCTCATTATTTTAATTAATGTGTTGTCTATTCATATTTCCTTATACAATTCAAGCTTATTATTTTATTTTATTTTTATTTTGGCTTTTATAAAACTTGCAGTATTTCTTTCTGTGTATTTCCTTAGTTCCTCTTAGTGTGTTGTTTATTTTCTGTTTTCTTCTTATTATTTATTTATTTTTATTATACTTTAAGTTCTGGGGTACATGTATACATAGGTATACACGTGCCATGGTGCTTTGCTATACCCATCAACCCATCATCTACATTAGGTATTACTAATGTAGGGGTACATAGGTATTACATTAGGTATTACTCCTAATGCTATCCCTCCCCTAGCTCCCCATCCCCCAGCAGGTCCCAGCATGTGATGTTCCCCTCATTGTGATCATGCATTCTCATTGTTCAACTCCCACTTATGAGTGAGAACATGTGGTGTTTAGTTTTCTGCTCTTGTGTTAGTTTGCTGAGAATGATGGTTTCCAGCTCCATCCATGTCCCTGCAAAGGACATGATCTCATCCTTTTCTATGGCTGCATAGTATTCCATGTTGTATATGTGCCACATTTTCTTTATTCAGTCTATCACTGATGGGCATTTGGGTTGGTTCCAAGACTTTGCTATTGTGAACAGTGCTATAGTGAACATACATGTGCATGTGTCTTTACAGCAGAATGATTTGTAATCCTTTGGATATATATTCAATAATGGGATTGCTGGGTCAAATGGCATTTCTAGTTCTAGTTCCTTGAGGAATCACCACATGGTCTTCCACAATGGTTGAACTAATTTACACTCCCACCAACAGTTTAAAAGCGTTCCTATTTCTCCAGGTCTTCTCCACCATCTGTTGCTTCATGACTTTTTAATGATCGTCATTCTAACTGGCATGAGATGGTATCTCATTGTGGTTTTGATTTGCATTTCTCTAATGGCCAGTGATGATGAGTTTTTTTTCATATGTTTGTCGGCCACATAAATGTCTTCTTTTGAAAAGTGTCTGTCATATCCTTCACCCACTTTTTGATGGGGTTGTCTATTTTTTTCCTGTAAACTGGTTTAAGTTCTTTGTAGATTCTGGATATTAGCCCTCTGTCAGATGGATAGATTGCAGTATATTGTTTTTTAAATTAGATGCTGAAATTAAAACTACAATGAAATATTACCTCACACCTCTTTATTATTACAAAACCAAAAGATAACTGTTGTGAAGATGTGAAGAAAAGTGAAGCCTTGAGCAGTGTTGTTGAGTACATAAATTGGTATGGCCATTATGGAATACAGTGTGGAGGTTCCTAAGAAAATGAAAAATAGAACTGCCATATTGTCTTACTCCATTTTGCATTGCTAGAAAGGGATACCTGAGACAGTAGAAAAATAAATAATTCTATGGTAAAGACACGGGCGTGCATATTTAAGACCCCTATGTACTTACTCCACTTTTATCCATATGGCCTGAATTGGATTGAAAATGATATGTTAAATATCTGTTTTTTAGCGTTTTTCTATTTCTTCATGCATGTTCTCTAGTTTCTGCACTACAGAAGTGGTGGCTGTGTTTTTGGTGCATAGACCAAAGCACAGTAATTTATAAAGAAAAGAGATTTATTTGGTTCACAGTTCTTCAGACTGTACGAGCATCGGACCAGCATCTGCTTAGCCTCTTGTGAGACCTCAGGAAGCTTTTACTCATTGCAGAAGGTGAAGAGGGAGCAGGTGTGCTCATGGTGAGAGAGGAAGCAAGAGAGAAAGGGGGAGGTACTAGGCTCCTTTAAACAACCCAGCTCTCTCTTGAACTAACAGAGTGAGAACTCACTCATTAAGGAGGGCACCAAGCCATTCATGAAGTTTCCTCCCACATGACCCAAACACCTCCCACTAGGCCCCACCTCCAGCATTGGGGAATCACATTTCAACATGAGATTTGGTGGTGACACATCTAAATCACATCACATATGACCCAGAAATCTTAGTTCTGAGTATATATTTGAAGGTTAAGAAAGCAGTATCTTGAAGAGATATGTGCACTCCCACATTCACTGTAGCTTTACTGACAGTAGCCAACACATGTGCCTGTCAGTGATGAAGAAAATGTGGTGTGTGTGTGTGTGTGTGTGTGTGTGTGTCTATATGCACACAAAGTAGAATGTGATTCCACCAAAAAAAATGAAAGAAATCCTGCCATTTTACATCATAGAGAAACCTGGAGGGCATTATGTTTAGTGAAATAAGTCAGAGAAATATAAATACTGTGTGATCTGCCATATGTGGAATCTAAAATTTGTCAAACTTATAGAAACAGTAGAAGGTTGGTTGCTAGGAGCTGAGGAGTTGGGGGAAATGAGGAGTTTTGGTCAAAGAGTATAATCTTTGAATTATAAGATGGATAAGTTCTGTGGATTTAATGTACAACATGGTGACTATAGTTAATAATACAAATATTATGTAGTTGCAGTTTGCTAAGAGATTAGATCTTCAATGTTTTTACCACAAATAAAAAAGTAACTATGTGAGGTGATGGATGTGCTAACTAATTCAGTTGTGGCAGTGATTCCACTGTATGTTATTATATCAAATAATCACATTATACAACTTAAATATATATAACTTTGTTTGTCAATTATATCTCAATAAAGTAAAAGAAAGTTAGAACCTGCGAAAACAGAGATAAATAAAATAGAAACCCATTTATCTATCCTAGCAATGGAGATATGTGCCAAGAAATAGTAATTACAATGTGGTTGATGTAAGTACTTCATATGTGCACAGTGCTACGGTAATAAACGGGCAAAATAAATTCTAATTCAGTGTTAAATCAATACCTACCATCAATCATTTTTTAATCTTAAAACAGGAAAAATATCAAAGATGTTTTAGAGTAGTTAAGAAATATTAGGAATATAGACTTTCTTAGGAGATAAATGGTTTGTCTCACATCATCAAAGTTTGTTACACACCTGTTGCCAAGAGATTTCCTAATAAGTAATCAATTAATGACAGCTTGATTAACAAATCCTTGGGAATGAAACTCATTTTATGGAAATCTTGAGCCACTATGCTGCATGCATTTTAATCATACATGGCTAAAATATCTTAATGCATGACTTCTCTTTTTCTCAACAATTGAAGAGCTGTCACAAGTCCATATCTCAGTGTACGTTTGATTTTCTGTATGTCCACGTCATTTCTGGATGGAGTAGAGATTCTGTCTTCATTCTAACAGTTGGGATATAGGTTTTCTTCTTGCAAGTCACAAAGCAGGAAAGTAACTATTGTTATTTTAGAAGATATTTTATCCTAATTTGCCTAGAAGAGTCTGTTTATCCGTATTGTCCTGCCATGATTATTAGTAGGGTCCCCCTTTGCCTTAAAGTGTCATGGTTTGAAAGACACATTGTAAGGTCACTGTTGTTATTTACACTGAACAATTGAATGGTTGCTACTTTATACTTAATGTAAATTTTTTCAGTGAAAAACATCAACCAGATTTTGACTTTTAAGTTTTTACCTCTAACTGTGAAATAAAAAACTTAGTTTCCACAGTAAAGAAATTTTAGGCATCAATAAGGTGATGAGAGATTTTAGGGCTTCAGCAAGCCATGGCTCTCAGTTTTTCAGGGGCCTGTTCACTGGAGCTATTAGGGAAGAAGAGAAGTCCATGCCGTTTCCTTAATTTATTTGCCATATCTTGACACAGATTCCAAAGCTAAAACTTCCTTTAGTACTTTGTATTTTTCCTCTCCATCACTTCCCTGCATAGGCATAGATTACAATTTCCAGTGGGGGTCTTTATAGCTATTAAAGAATATCTGATGGAACACTTTGCCAGTCCTGTTTCATCTCTCCTTGCCTCTGAAATACAAGCTTAAGAGGGAATACATTTTTATTCTACTAACTGAAATATCTGTAGCAAATAGAACAGTGCCTGGCTCAAATATATTTGGTCGTGAGTGAAGAGGCATTTCTTAAATATTCATAATGTGTTCAGCCATATGCCAAGAAAAGTAAGGGGCATGGACAACATGAGATCTGGTCTCAGTCATCAGAAATCTTGTAGAGAACTAACAAATTAATGACATAAAGCTGTTGTAATAAGAGTAATATTAGATGTAATGTAGGTTAGTAGTGCTATAGAAGTTCAAAGAAAAGAAATGTCTTTAGGGATAGAATCAGGGAAGTTATGGAGAGTGTTGGCCTTAATCTTGACCTCCTGGATGGATAGAAGAAAGAGAATATACACCAAATGAAAGAGAAAAAAATCAGCAAATTCTTTCACATGAGCAAGCACAGGAAGTATGTAAGACATAAGAAGTCTCAAAGTGAGTAAAACAACACAAAAGGGAAAAATCAACCTTTTGGTAGGATTCCTCAGTTTAATGTGAAACTGAGTTGACTCAAACATAAGGTCAATAAAAAAGTGATAATATGCATTACAATAAGTGAATTAATAAATAACATTTTTCTTATATAGTATTGTAAATAGTCTTCATATTTCACAGTCTAAAGTCTCATATTTTATTCTTTTTCTTTAATCATTTACTTATCCATTCTCCTAATGATGAGCACAAATTGCCCCCAAACTTCATGCTGACACAAACAGTGGCTCAGCATCCATTTTTTGGTACCCCTCACTTTGTATGGACTTTGTAATACTTCTCTGGGATATGTATTCAGGAGTAAGATCATTGGTTCATATATAGTGCTGCTGGAAATAGAGCATATATAGTTCATACCCTAGAGCTGCTGGAAATAGAGGACTTTCTAGATTGGCAGTAGTGTCTAGACTGCCACATACAAAACACAATTGACCCCCATCTCTTCACACTCTATCTAATAGTATTATCCATCTTTTTGCATTTTTGCCTTTCTGATAGGTATAAACTCATATCTTCTCTTCTTGTTATTTGAAGTAAATAATATATTTTTAAAAGATACATAATATGTTTTTTTATGGAAAAAGTTTATCATATTAAACTATCATTTTTTATTTGCTACTAGCTTGACAGCAAACCAACATTAATTTTTCTTAGTTATTGTTGGTAATGTGAATAAAAAAATGTAATGTAAATGTTTTAGCTCTGAAGTCACTCTGGTGGATTGGAAATGTCTTACATCAGTAGAGACAAACCACTTTAATTGAGCTAAGAAAAGGAGGCAATTTGATGTATAACTTTTTATATAAATAGTGACACCTAGAACTGCCATTAAAATTTCCTAATATGTGAATAAGTTAAAGGTTATCATCTGCTGGAGATTTAATGGATTGAAGTAGAATTAAAGCAAATGACCCTTGCAGGTTTTATAAATTTGATCAATCACAATGTAATTGTTAAGGCGGAATAGCAATTAATTTTCATTAAGCAAAGAGGTCATTAATACTTGTTGTTAGGGAAAATGGCTAAGTTGTAATATAAGAGATCTGATAGTTTTTTGCAATTAAAAACCTTCACTTAATTTCCTGACTTCATGTGCAAGGGAAGCTATTGTAAAGCTATCAGCCTCTCTCTCCATGGAAAATTGATATAATGACATAAAGTAAGGAAGTGAAAATAATTGTGTGTGTATGTGTGTGAGAGAGAGAGACAGAGAGAGAAAGAGAGATGAGTGGCAGAAATATAGCCTATACACAAATATTGTAGAGTTAAAAAGAAGACTGATTTGACATGTTTGTTAGATTAGCTTCACTTACAGGTCAACGTACTTGTATGTATTTTACAACTTTTCTTCAACCCACTTTTTACTTTTAAAATATATTGGTACATCATCTCTGGCTTCCTAGGTATTGAAGAATCAGGAAGGAAAAATAGCTAAATTTGGCATAAATATGCAGGAATTCAACGTTGTTACTCTTACACATCTATTTAATTAGAAATAAAAAGTTACATACTTTTTTCATGTTTATGACCTTCATTCCTAGACTAGTAGTTGTGAAAGTATAGTGAGTATGAAATATAGAAAAGCTAGTTAGGATAAAATTTGCTAAACTCCAGCCCTAAAATAATTATTCAGCAAGTCTGAGTCAGTGATTAGGATTACATTTAAACTAGCATGGTACGTGACTCTATGAATGTATTTCTGCGTATATCACTGCTCTAGATTTATTCATATATACTTTTTGTGCAAATAAAAAAATCTCGTATACATGCTTTGTAGTCTGCTTTTTATCATGTAACCACATATTGTGACTCTTTCCATGTCAGTTAATATATTTATATAACATAACTATTCTTGGAAATATATATTTCCAGTGGATAAATAGACAATACTTTAGTTTTTGTAGTTGATAAGCTAGGTCAATTCCTAGGCTTTAGAATTACCATATAATCTTACCATATATTATAATATAATACTTTCTCTCCTAAAGCTCAGTGATCTCTAAAGAATTAATTATAACAAGTAAGTAAATAAATCCTATAATGAAATGAATAAATGCAATAATTAATCCCCATCTTTTAAAGCTTACACAATTTTCTCTCTTAAGAGTAATAAATAGCATTTGCATTTTTAGCATAAAATAAGCAAAATACTCTTGTATTATTTAAGTACGTTAAAATGCAAAAGGAATACATTATTAAATATATCCCAAATTTTAAATATTCCTTGGTTCTTCATTATACTCTCCTCAAGAGAGTTAGCTATAAATTGCTTCTTAACCTCTTTTTTTCTACCATTCAGAAAGTCTATAGGGACAAATTTTTAATTTTTTATACATCAAATAAGTTTGAGTATCGGGATGAAAAGTAAAATTTTTGCTCATTTTTTTCAATATTATGAGCACTTTACTTATACTTCAATGATTATAAAATAGCTTTAGGATATCAACATAATGCTTATTTAAGGAATGACTGAACAGAAGCATACATCTTTGATAATAGTTATTATCAAATAGCTAATTGACATAGTTAAAATTTTCGTGAGTCAAGAATTTTCCAAAGTTTGTTTCAGTATGTTTTTATTTCCTGGATACTGGTTGACTATGTGAATTTTTAAAAAATATAGTGACTATAATTAAATATGAATCTGAATCTATGATGACAAACCTGGGGCACTTTATTATGCAGTTAGTTTACAAAGTATATTTACCTAAACATTTCCTACATGAAAAAAAAAAAGCGGCTAAATTGAAAAGTACCATTGTGGACTAATATCAAATGATGAGTTTGATTAATTTTTAGGTATACTATTAATAAGATGAGTTATCAACATTCTATTATAACAGACTATATAAAGTGATATTAAAGTTGTGAATATGTATTTTAGAAATGCACTTATTTTTGCTTGTAATGATTAAGAAATACTGTATTTTACCATACATACAATAAGGCTATACATACAATATGAGAAAATGAATATGAAGAGGAACTCAAACCTTCCTATTACTGAAGCTAATAAATTTCTTAGTATGGGTTTACAATAAAATTCTATCCTTCTAATAGCTAATCTATGGTAGAAAGTGTATATGTCTATTATTTAATGAGAGAAAACATATTTTCTAATTTAAAACATGTATTTAATGGTAAATTATTAATTTAATAAAATGATTTATCATATAAAACATTATTAAATGGAAATTATGAAACATGCCTATTAGTTTATATACAATCCTTTTCCAATTCTTTGGCTATAAATACATTGAAGGTAGAGAAATAGACTTATTTATCTATTTTGTATCACTGGTGCCTTAAGTGGTATCCGGTTTTTGTTAGCCATCCAGTAATTGTTAGTTGAAATGAATCTTAGGAATGCTTTAAAGCATATACAAAACACTGTTTTTATGGTTAGTATCTATATGGACTTTCAATAAAACCTGAGAACATAACACTAAAATGCATATTATAGAAGGTGTTTTATGTTGCAAGGAGAACTAATGACTTCCAGGTACATAGCTTTCAGGTCATATAACTTGCTTGAGAAATAGAATTTAGAACACCTAGACAGATTAAATGATAGAATGCTCTAAACATAATAAGCTTTTAGATATTAATTCTCTAAACTGAAGTTTTAACAGAGTCCTAATAACGAGCTGTGCAAGGTCAAACTAGGTGATGAAAATAGGAAGTGCAAATTATTGACCATAATGTTTGAAGATAATCCATATGCTTTGGAGAGGAGAAACTGAAAACAAAGCTGAATGTTTATAAAGAAAATAAAGAAGGCAATGAAAGTGATTACAGGGTGTTTGTTTTGTTTTTGCTTTTGTTTTTGTTTTGCAGTTGGGGTAGAATCAAATTATACTTATGAACGTGATCCAGATTTATCTCTGACACTAAAAGAACTTTGCCTGAGGCCAGTGAGTGCCACAAAAAGAGCAATGTGGACATAATTTGGGTCATAGTTGAAAGGATGATGGAATTTCAGGAACTTGGGTTCATCCATTGATGGGTCAGAGTAAATAGACAGAAATCCAGCATTTCTATTTCCAGAAAAAGTAACTGGCCAAAGTCAAGCAGGGCACTAAGGATTCAAACACTGGTGGTATATCAGGAAAAGAGTCCAGGCCTGTAGAAAATGGGGTAGTAATGTAATCAGTGGTACAATGGGAAGAAAGGGTAAGCAGAAACTCAATCCTGGGAGTTGGACAAGTGTAGAATGCATTCAAAGTCTATTGGAGGGGCACCTTTAGGGCTCACTGAATTCTGAAAGGAATTAGAGTGGAGACATTATAGAAATTGTGACAGAGGCAGGTGGATTCCAACAAGTCTGAGGCAATTGTAAAATATTTTACTTTTGTCAGGGAATATAGAAGAAATTGGGAGTGTCTGAGCCTATAGTTGGGAACATCAGATGATAAAGGTCTAGGAAGCCAGAGTAAAAGGTATAAGATAAACAAAGAACACATTCATTGTCAATGTTATATTTAAAAACGCAAGAAATATTTTCCTGTTTTCTTATTTGACTCTAAGAACACATCGTTTTCTGTGATGGTCTTAGTTGAGCTACATTCCTTTTGAAGGCCTGATAGGCTGAGGTCTTTGAAATGTATCCCAGTTAACTAGGTGATTTGACTTACCATGGTATAAATTAGTATGGTCAATTTGAAGTGTGAATTTATTATATTATGGAACTTCTGATATTATCACTGTAATATTATTTGCTGATTCATAGTTTTAAAATTGTGTTGCTGTTATTTAAGGAAGATAATTGACCTCCTTACAGAATGTAATGATTTGGTAAATGAAGCAATGGTTTCTGGGGAAAAATCTCTATAAATGTGCACTGGAGATCAAAATATATAACGTGTGAATCTTCAGCCTGTTTCCTGTTACCCTAAGAACTGAAGCAAATAGAAATAAGAAAGTAAAAGTATTTTTATTGGAAAATTAAAAGTACTAGACAGGACTAAGGTATAAGTGAGTTGTAAAGCAAAAGAAGGAATTGGAAGAGGAATAAAGGCCAGAACCTGATACTGTATGATTTGCTTAAGAGAGTCTTATTTAAGTTAAAGCAAAGGTGAGATAGATTTAAGAATTGCAGATGAATAAGAAATCGATGAACAGAAAGAGAGGACTTACAGACTTGCTATAAGCTATTATTTGCACTCCTTTTGACATTCAGGAGAATCTGGAAGAAATTTAAAATACTGTTAACTTGCTCTTGGCTACAAAAATGAAATAAATGCAGAGATTTTTTCTTATTGAGCACATTTGATAAATCAAGTTTTTTTAAAATTATTTTCCTTTGCAAGTGTTATAGGTCATCTATTCGTATTATATAAAATTCATTGAGTTATTTTAAAATACAGTCATGTGTCACTTAACAATAGGAAAATGTTCTGAGAAATGCTTCTTTGACAATTTTGTTATTGTGCAAACATCAGAGTGTACTTACACAAACCTAGATGTTATACCTACTACCCATCCATACTATATGGTATTGCCTATTGCTCTGAGGCTACAAATCTGCGCAGTATGTTACTTTACTGATACTTTAGGCAATTGTAGCACAGTGGAAATAATTTGTATACCAAAAATAGAAAAGCTACAGTGTCATTGGCCTCCGCATCAGTATGAGGAGCATGACTGTACTTAAAAGGGCAAAGCAAGACACACTCCTATTTTACACATCTTGAAACTGAATTAGAAAGTTAGAAGATAATTTATCCTCTCTTTGATTTTAATGTTCTAAAAATGCTTAGATTTTGAAGAAGAATGAAGAATTATATTAATCTAGCTGAGCAGATTCAGTAAATTAGATCAGTATGGACAACTTAATTTATCCATTACTAAAAATAAATCAGTTCTAGCTTCATCTCTGAAACGTAAAAAGCTTGGAAGTGGTCACTCCCATGCTTACAACAAGAAAAAGCTAAACAAACTGAAAATCAATGGTTCTTCTTGGATCTATGAGTACTGAATTTGCAGGGCAAACTGCCACTCCAAAATCTGCAGAGATAGGTTAATACAGAGTCACAGCCAGGGTCTGCTTACCTGGAGCAGAAGCCATTGAAGTCACCACTGGTGGTAACATTCAAATTGCAATTTTGCTCATTTCCTAAAAGCTGAGAGTGAATGAACTTGAGAGTGAGAAATATCTAGACCTGCAGTCTGAGAGTGGAGAACATACTTCTATAGATTTACCTTTAGGAACCCTACTGTTTTCATATAGTGAAGAGCCACAAAAGATTCTCCTCTTGGCTCTATCAAAAGAAGGGGAAGAGTAGTCATTGTGAAATGTGCCCAGAGCATTCTCTAATAAACAAGGCCTACTTTGCAGGAGACTTTACCAGAGCTTTATCCCATCTGGGGAAAGGACATTTCTCTAACTCCAGCCCTAGCTAGCTTTTCTGTTTCCCCGCAGGGGGTAGGTGAAGCTAGAAAACACTTATGAATGTCACAGTCCCATGACAGCAACAAAAAGACGGAGACATAATCATAACATTACACGATATTTTCCTCTCCCACACCTTACCAGCACACCAACAGGACACTAGTGTAGTAACAGAGGAGTACAGTTGAAAGAGCTGCAAAATATAGACACTTTCTAGGAAGTACTTAGGGAAGTCCAAAGATAAAACGAGAGACAGGAACAAGGACACTAGAGAGACTTGAAGTCTCTGCCATCTACAGCTACATCAAACATCGAACATACCCTGAGTCTTAGCCAGATTAACAAAAAACCTCACATTAAAGCCAATTTACCATAGTTCTTATTTTTTTTTTTTTTTTTTGAGACGGAGTCTCACTCTGTTGCCCAGGCTGGAGTGCAGTGATGTGATCTCAGCTCACTGCAAGCTCCGCCTCGTGGGTTCACGCCATTCTCCTGCCTCAGCCTCCCGAGTAGCTGGGACTACAGGCGCCTGCCACCACACCTGGCTAATTTTTTGTATTTTTAGTAGAAACAGGGTTTCATCGTGTTAGCAAGGATGGTCTAGGTCTCCTGACCTCATGATCCGCCCGCCTCGGCCTCCCAAAGTGCTGGGATTACAGGCGTGAGCCAGCGCTCCTGGCCCAATTTACCCTAGTTCTTATTGGCCAATATACTCTGTAGTGTTTTCAACAGCAAATTACAAGACAAGGGAAAAGGCAAGGAAAACATAGTCTGAAGTAACAAAGTAAGCATCAAAACCAGATTCAGATGGAT
Source organism: Homo sapiens (assembly GCF_000001405.40). Classification (NCBI taxonomy): domain Eukaryota; kingdom Metazoa; phylum Chordata; class Mammalia; order Primates; family Hominidae; genus Homo; species Homo sapiens. Next base: position 84,767,242 of record NC_000007.14, on the reverse strand, counting down.
ACAGACATTGGCGTCATCAGACCAAGAATTTTGAATAATACTGACTAATATTTTAAGGGTTTTCATGGAAAGAGTAGACAGTATGCAAGAACACACAGGCAATATATGTGGAGAGGTGAAAATTCTAAGAATAAATCAAAGAAAATACTAGATATCAAGACGCTGTAATAAAAACAAAAAAATACCCTTGATGGAGCCATCAGTAAACTCAGCATGCTGAGAGAAGAATGAGTGAACTTCAAGTTAGGTCAATAGGAACCTACAAAACCGACATGCAAAGAGAGAAACGTATGAAAAACAGGAAAGAATAGAGCATCCAAGAACTGTGGGACAATTTCAAAAGATGTAACATATGGATAATCGGGAATGTCAGAAGGAAAATACAGAAAGGAGCATAGGAAATACTTAAAAAAAAATAGGAGAAAATTTCCAAATTTAATGGCATATGCCAAACTCCAGATTCTGGAGCCCCAGAGAACACAAAGCAGGATTAAAAAAAAAAATCTATACCAAGTCATACCATGTTCAAACTGCAGAAAACTAAAACCAGAAAAGTTTGAAAGAAGCCAGAGGAGTAAATCAACTTACTTATAGTAGAGGAAAAAAAGATAATAATTACTGTGAACTTCTCTTCAGAAACCTTGCAAGCAAGCGGAGAGTGAGTGAAATATTTAAAGTGTTAAAAGAAAAAAAAAGAGCCTAGAATTCTATATTCAATAAAAGTATGTTTTAAAAGTGAAAGAGATATAAAGACTTTCCTACACTGAAACTTTGGGAATTTATCACCAACAGACCTCCCTTAAAAGAAACATGAAAAGAAGTTATTCAGGGAGAAAGAAAATGTAGTAAGACAGAAATCCTAGGTAATAGAAGGAAGAGTATAAAACAAGGAATAAATGAAGGTAATTTTTTTATTATTAATCAGTTTAAGAGATAATTGTCAAAATAATATTACTAACAATGTATTAGCTGTTATCACATGGATAAGTTGCAAGAACGATAACAATGTTATAAGGGTCAAGAGGAAGGAACTGGGAATACTTTAAAAAGTACATGCACTACACTTGAAGTGGTATAGTGCTGTTGCAAGGGAAACTTTTGACAATATGTATTACGTGCTTAGAAAAACCACTGTTTCTTTTTTTAAACATAATTAATATGCTAAGAGTAGAGGTATAACTACATCACATAAAATGCTCAATCAGGCTGGATGCAGTGGCCCATGCCTGTAATCCCAGCACTTTGGGAAGCAGAGGTTGGCAGATCACTTGAGGCCAGGAGTTCAAGACCAGCCTTGTCAACATAGCAAACCCCTGTCTCTAATAAAAGTACAAAAATTAGCTGGTCATGGTGGTGTGCACCTGTAATCCCAGCTACTTGGGTGTTTGAGGCATGAGAATTGCATGAATCCGAGAGGCAGAGGCTGCAGTGAGCCAATATCACGCCACTGCATTCCAGCCTTGGTGACAGAGCAAGACACCATTCCCACCCCACCCTCCAAAATGCTCAGTTATTGCAGTGCTATTCACAATAGCAAATACATGCAGTCAATGTAGGTGCCCATCAATGGTGGATTGGATAAAGAAAACGTGTTACACATATACCATGGAATACTATGCAGTCATGAAAATCATACCCTTTGCAGCAACACAGATGCAACTGGAGGCTCTTATCCTAGTGAATTAATGCAGAAACAGAAAACCAAATATTTCCTGTTATCACTTATAAGTAGGAGCTAAATCTGGGGTACACATGGACATGAAGATAGACATAAAGATAGAAACAACAGACACTGGGGACTCTGAAAGTAGGGAGGCAGGGTGTGGAGCAAGGGCTGAAAATCTTCCCATTAGGAACTATGTTCACTATCTGGGTGACAGGATCAACAAAAGCCCAAATCTCAGCATCACACAATATACTCTTGTAATAAATCTGCACATGTATCCCTGAATCTAAAATAAATATAAAATTTTTAAAAATTAAAAGTAAAACCAGAGAAGAGGAAAAATAAGGCAAAAACTTTTAAAAATGCAATGAATACATAGAAAATAGTTGCAAACACAGTGGACATTAATCCAACTCTATCAATAATACTTTAAATGTGAATAGTCTAAATGTATCAATTGATTATAGATTTGTCAGAGTAGGTTTTTCAAAAGGCCAACCATCTATTTTTACATGAGATTCACTTTAAATATAATGACTCAGGTAACCAAAAAATAAAAGGATGTAGAGATATACCATGATAACGTAAGTCAAAGAAAAACTGGATTAATTGTATTAATTTCAGACAAAGCTGCCTTCTTATCAAATCAAAGCAACAGCAAGATACCAGTACACAGCTACTAGAATGACTAAAATACAAAAAGCTGACAAATTAAATTCTGGGGAGGATGCAGAGGAATAAGAGCTTTCACTGCTAGTGGAAATACAAAATGGCTCAGGCACTTTGGAAGACAGTTTGGCAGTTTCTTACAAAGCTAAACATACTCTTACCATATGATGCAGTAATTGCACTCCTTGGTATGTACCCAAATGAACTGAAAACTCAACTCCACACAAAACCTGTGCATGAATATTTATAGTAGAATTATTCATAATCACCAAAAAACTGGAAGCAACCAAGATGTCCTTCAATATAGGTGAATGTACAGGCAAACTGTTGTATATCCATATGATGGAATATTATTGAGATGTGATATTACACACTCTATGTATATTGTATTACTTAAGTCTGTATGTTTATTATTTTATTACTGTTATATTAAACACATTTTTCTTTAGTCTGCTGCTTTCTAAAAGCTTTCATAAACTTTCATAAATCCAGTACACCCATATTAGGAATGAATATTAAGCTTTAAAAGTAAAAGGTCTATTGATCTCTGTGACCAGTGATGATGTAACTGTTTTTAGAATGAGAATGGTAAAAATTATCATGGTGAAGACATGAATTTAACATCCCAATTGTGTTTATTTATTCTATGCTATTTACCTGGTATGTTTGATTTAGATTTAAATGTACTATAACTATAATCCATTGTGCAAAATAATGGCAGCACTTGCTATCAATGGGCTTAAGCTGTGTTTATTGTAATTTACTTACTTTTTTCCTGTTTCTTGATGTGAACACTTAATGAAATACTTATTTTTACTTCATTCATGATGGTATTTGAAGTGTTCAGATTTATTATTTTGTGTGTTTTGTACTTATTTTACTGACACATTTGTCTACATAAGTTGTTGGTGTTCTGTATAGAAATCCATTCAAATTTAATTTATTTTGTTGTATTTGGCAATGTTTTACTGATGTATTTACTTTTCTTTTCTGTCTCACTTTGATTTTAATATTTATCTTACAATTTGGGTTTCTTTTTGTTGCCAGTATTTACTATAAATGTACCAATAAATGTTTTACAGTACCAGAGATGACTTCATTGGTGAGCATATTTGTGAATTTTTATATGTGTTACACACCGTGTTAATAATCATATATTAATTTACCTATCTTTATATGATATCTTTTTTCAGGATTAATAGATTATATTATAAATCTAGAAGTTATTTTTCTATGAAAGAAATGTAGCATATAATTCATTAACACAAGGGAAATAATATTTTATATTTTTAAAAAAGTTCAAAATTACTGTCAATAATTGTGTAATGAAATGATCTCTACTACACCCCAAATTTGCTTAAAAATAAAATTTACTTATATTGTGTATGCTTTATGTGAATGAAAATATGATAAGCTATGAAACTTGCTCATAGGTACCAATAATTTATTTATTTTTATTTTTTATTTTGATTACATATTATACTTCTATTTTGTTGTCTATATAGTTCTATTGTATGGTTGTGCTACAGTGATCTACATTGACTACTTTTTCGGGAAAACCAATTTAATCACAGTACTATATGCCCGAGTTCAGTTGATGTAAATGTTCATAAACCTTTTATAAAAGAGGACAAAATAAATCATGAGCCTTCTATTCAAATAGAAGCCTCTGAGGAACACTGGAATTAGGTTAATGTGAAGGTGGTAGGATACACACGCTTCCTCTCTCTTTAGACTCCTGTGCTAGACACACAAATAGCCCTAGGAAATACATTCAGTATACCTCATTGTATTTTATTACCATTAGCTTTGTAAGTGTGCCTTTTCCCAGACTTTTAAATAAATAACAACAACAGATCTTATATTAGTTCATACATTTTGATTCTAAATGTTTGTGGTTTCTAAATAAAAGCTAAATGATGAAAGTTGACAGTTTCATGCTAAGTGTTATATGGTACCCATTATTTGCAGGGTAGTACATCATTGTAATCAAAATTTGCTGTGGAAGCTAATGTGCATACAGTTTTGACCAAAGAATATCTTTTCTATTAAAATAAATTATTTTCATTTCTGCAAGATGATCTCCTGCCCCATAACTCATATTTTACACAATGAAAGAGAAAGACAAAGCCACAGTGCTTATTTTCTAGCTGGAAAACATGCTAACTAATGCAATTCTTTTATATTTTTCCCATTAGTTTCACATATTTGATTTCCAGTTAATTTGCTACATGTAACTCTTTCTACTAAACCCAAACCAAGTCAGACATTTTAAATCTTATTAAGGACAACTTTCTTTTCTTACAACTTTTTCACGTATGTGCAAATAATTCTTCTTAGAGAATCAAAGGTACTTTCACTTTTTGAATATCCAAATTAGTAGTTTTCTCTGTGAAGCTACCCCCTCTACCAATGATGTCACATAATAACACTTAGGAATCAAAAGTTGTGTAAATATAAGGTAGCATATAGAATAACAAATTTAAATAATGGATAATATCACATTGCCTTAAAGACCTATATGTAATTATATTTTAGCTTAATTACCATTTATTCCAATTTATTCCAAGTTTATTTTTACCATTTAATTTTTTTAAGAACTTGGCTCATATTATTAAAATGGTGATCATATTATTTAAATGGTAAATTGCATATACTATTAATATATTATTATATATCAAGGATCAGAAAATGTTTCTGTAATGGGCCAGGTCATAAATATTTTAGGTTTTCCAGGCCATATAGTCATTATGGAAATTACTTAATTTTGTCATTGTAGCACAGAAACAGCAATGGACAATGAGCAAATGAGTGTGGCTGTGTTCCAATAAAACATTATTTACGGATATTGAAATTCAAATTTCATATAACTTTCACATCATGAAATATTATTCTTTTTTTTTAGTCATTTAAAAGTATTAAAACCATTCTTATTTCCCAAGCTGTACAAAAAATAGGTGGAAAGATAGATTTTACTTATGAGCTGTATTTTGTCAATTTTTGTTATATATTAATAATAAGTAAATGTGAAACTATGCCTTTAAAGAAAAACATCTTACAAAGTTATGCATGTTACTGAATTTTAGCCAGGAATAACTTGTAAAAATATGCAGCAGTCCCTGTTAAAGAGAAAATTATCTCAGACTCTAATTAAGAGATTTGAGAGAAATAGCATTATACTGCGAAGAACTTATTCATTAGAACAATCCAGACTTTGTTTCAAGGCAAACCTAGTTTTGTATTAGCTTCAGAAGTTACATTACTGCTCTGATCCTCAGTTTTCCTGTGTAAAAGATTAAGACAGCATTTCTAAAAGGCAAGACAATTTTGATTGAAAATATATAGACATTCAAAATGACTGTCATAATTATTTAGTATGATTTTACAAAAGAAATCTGTTAGGAGGCAGATGTTTGTTTATATACATGTTTTACAGAACATAACTGACCATACTCTGCTGAGGAGATAATTTTTCTTCATTAATTTCTATTTCACATCTTTGAATGTTGTTAATCTATTGGTACAAATAATCTGGAGGAATATAATGATTAATAACCTGTTGGGCAAGGGTGTTCGATGTCCTGAAAGATCAACACCGAGACAAAGGATTCTTCAGCAAGGCTAGTTTACTTTCTGCAGAAAGGGTGCACTCGTCAGCTGTCTAGTAAGGAGAGCATACCAAACAAAGGAAACAAGGACATTTATAACTTTTACGTCTTGATGCAATCCTCTATGGCTGTGTCCTGTTCCCATTGGCTGGGGTGGGACCTCACACTCTAAACTTAACTTGATTGGCTAAAAATCTTAAGCTTTCCTAAATAGGCAGAAGGGAAAAGAGGACAAAGAAAGAGGAAATTAATGATAAGAGGTCAGAGGGGTTCCCAAATAAGGAATGTCATGCATCTGGATCCGGGACTCATTTAGCCTTATCTCAACTGGCTGGAACATGTTGGAGCCACCTCAGAATATGCACATTCAAACATTTAACCAGGGAATGATACACCTTTTATGGATTTAGGCAACTTTGAAGAAGAACTTCTCTATTCCCTACATAACCTGATTATTAAAAAAAAGTTAATATCCCACTAGTAGTATGCCTATACCATGTTAATCATCTGAATATTGCAAATTGTATCCATTTGCATATAATTGATATCTGAATTGATTCAATTTACAACTAAAAGTTTGAAGTTAGGTACTCATGGCCTTATTTAATTATGATTAAATATTAAAACATTTTTCAACATGTCATTCTAATTTGTGCCTTCCATGAAATATTATAGTGTTGCTAATGTGCATTTGTGTGATAACTCACAAGGTAGTAAAGCTGAAATGTGGCCTCTCTGGTTAGAATATATTAACTTTCCAAAATGTGTTAAAAATCATAATTTTGGAGGTACACTTCAATATCAGTTTTTATTATCTTTCAAAGTTTATTGGTAAGACCCATTTCTGATTCAATAACATTCACATTCCCAAGTTGTGAGTTGTTTCAAGAGTTAAGAACAGCCCTTAAGGACATACTCTATTCATCACTGGTAAACCTGAGCTCAATTTCAAGTATAAAATAAGTATAACTTCATATTAAATTATTGTTTTCATCTCCAAATCCCTATAGAAGTTAGCACTATCAATATTTTTATTCCAGTATTCTTTGAAACACATGTTTTAGTAATGCACTTATTTAATCTGGGACCTGGTTTTAGTAATCTTCGTTATATTGTGTTTTAACTGAGTTATATTTTCAGAATAGGTTATTATAACAGTGGTATATGGGACAACAACTACATCTTTGTATTTTTCTAGAGAGCAATACACATTTATAGATACTGCAGTAATTGTTTGGTCTGGATATGGCAATGTGAATTCTTGAGTGTAGAACAATGAAGCTTAGAACACCAAAATGGAATTCAGATATCAACTGTCCACTTTAAATTTTGTTTACTCTGGATAACTTATTCTGTTTTTAAAATAAAAAGATGAAAACAATTTCCTAGGCAATCAAGTATTTTTTTTCCCTAAACAGCTTTTTGATGAGTTAAGTGTAAACGAATCAGAACCATATGGAAAGAATTTTCTCTACAACACACATTGCTTTAATGGGAAAAGTGTTTATGAGGATGCATTTTGGTTTTTAAAAATTTGAAAAATATTTTGAGAAATAGTTTAACAATCCCAAATGTGGTTTGTTCATCTGTTCCTGGTACAATACACATCAAAAGAAAGTCTTGGAAGTGAAAACAACTCTAGGGCAAAGTTAATCCGGGTGATATTCTTAAATATGATGTTTATCAAGGCCTCGTTAATGTCTCAGGGAACTGAGCAGTGTCTCAGGAAAATGGACAAGGCAGAAAAAGAATTGATTTTGGCAGTTTGAAAAAGAAATTGGAATTTGTGATTATCATACAAACTTTCATTAACTTCAAAGCAGAGCTCAGTCTCCTTTCCATCAGTCTAATCTAAAATTAGGTTGTACTTTCCTGGAGACCTTGAGAGACCCAATAAATAGCACCTGTATTCTCCTTGTGCACTATTGGTTGGAATGTAAATTACTGCAGCCACTGTGGGAAACAGTATGGGGGTCCCTCAAGAAATTAAAATCATAAAACAACCATATGATCCAGCATTCCCACTTTTGGGCTACCTAATTTCTGAAACAATTGAGAAAATAACAAGAGTCAAGAGATGGAAAACCTAAATGACAAGAATGTTCCTGGAAAGATATACCTGGGTATCAGAATGGGCTTACTACTCTCCAGCCCCCTTCAATGGAGGCCATCTGCTATGACTGAATTGTATGCCCCACCACCCAAACTCATATGTTGAAGCCCTAATCCCCAATATGATGGTATATGGAGATGGGGCCTTTGGGAGATAATTAGGTTTAGATCAGGTCATAAGGTTGGAGACCTCATGAAGGAATTAGTAGTGCCCTTGTAAGAAGAAGCACACTCTGTCTCTGCCATGTGAGGACACTGTGAGAAGGCAGCTTTCTATAGGCCAGGAAAAGATCCCTCACCAAACCAGATCATGCTGGCACCCCGATCTCAGACTTTTAGCATCCAGAACTTGGAAAAATAGGTCTCTGTTGTTTAAATCACCCAGTCTATGACATTTTGTTATGGCAGCCAGAGCTGATTATTACACCATGAAACAACCTGTCGGAGGGAAACTTTAAGTTTGCAGAGAGGGAAAACTTATTTAGTCTCTCCCCTACTTAGGTAGAAAGGAAAGCAAAAATGACCAAATGTACTTTCCACGGAATTTTTGACAAACTCGTTTCAAGGTGATAGCAGAGTTGGTTCCTTCTAAAGCAGGTGGAGGAGGACTCTGTACCAGTTCTCTCTGTTTGGCTTATAGATAGCACTCTTCTGCCTTGTTTTCACATCCTCTTCCCTCTGTACATGTCTATGTCCAAATTTCCTCTTCTTATAAGGATACCAGTGATTTTAGATTAGGACCAACCTTAATTAACTCATTTTAACTTAATCATACCTGTAAAGACCCTCTATGGTCACAGTCAGGGGTATTGGGGGTTATAAATATAAATTCTGGGGTGAACGTAATTCAGTCCTTAACAAGCTGAAACCACAAATTAGGGTCTCATTTTATATACATTGGAATTATTTTAGTAGCAACCTGTGCTGTCTCTAACTCAAGCAAGTGTAGTTCCTTCAGGTACTCAGAAATTATATTTGTTCAACTCCAAATCTCCTTTGAGCCTTACTATTTAAGAGTCAAAAATTTGATAGGACATACAAGATTATCACAGTACTGACCCCTGCTTACTGAGGTTAGATTTGCCAGTCCTTATATGAATAGCAGTTATAGCTAGTCAAATTATGTTCTGTTTCTGAAAGCATTACCAAAGATCATAATACAAGTTACATGGACTTTGAATGAAGCAATGTAGATACGGAGCACATTCTTGTGTTTAGTCTTACCAGGCTGTTCGATTGTTTATGACAGTTGTCCAAAATCCACTGAGAACTAAGGTTGAGTTGAGAAAAACTTGGCACCATTCATTTTCTCTCTTTGGAGAAAGTATCAATTTACGCACGCCTATATCTTTATCTCTCAGAGAATAGCATTTGATGTGTTCTTATGCAGCTTCACAATTTACAATGGAGGCAGCCACAGTCAGGGGGTCTCATTTGTGGTTTCTTTCTCTCACGTCCATAATGTTCAAAAAATTTTAATTACAATTTCCCCTTTGGCACAAATAATTTAAACATAGACCCTCCTTCGTATGCTGTGGTGCACACTAAATTCAATTACGTTGCAAATTTAAAAGCAGCAAATAATGCTTTGCTTGCTAACACCTAAAAGGCCTTTACAGATCGATCCTCTTTTCTCCATAATTGAATCCTTGCCTCAGCTGCATCTGGTTGTGGTCGCTCGGGGTGTGCTGCAGCCTCCTGCTGGCACATATGCTAAGTATTGTTCAAGGTCAAGATGTGGTCTTCTGTACCCAGAGCTTGCTTGCACCTGCTAAATAAAATGATCTCTTTGGTTTCTTGTACCCATTTTACTTGGAAATAAATACTTTAATCAAACATTTCTTTGTATTCAAAAAGGTCCATCTTTCTTCAATCATTAGTACTTTTCATTTAGTAATCGTAAATCAATTCATTGTAATTGCTGTAAGCTCGTCTATTGGATAGCCTTGTGTCTAACTCAAAAATTAGAAAACGTATTTCAAGAGCTCTTTAAAGATTGTGATTTATGATCTGAACTTGGTTTGTAATGAGCTGTATTATGATCAACAAAATATACAGATTTATAATAAATCAATTCTGTTAAAAACTATTCTAAAATTAAGAGAGATTTCTGGGGACGTCTTTTGGGACATCTTCTGCTTTCCCTCTACTGCTAACTCCAATCTATGTGCTTCTTTACAGTCAAGCAGCTGCTAGAGCTGTCAGGCAGTGGAGTGGGAGTGAAGCCTTTGGCTTTCTTGGAGTCCTGGGGGGCTATTCAAGAGTCTAGACACCAGTATTGAACAGCCCCGAGATGAGGATCAGAATGTGGTAGGCTTATGGGTGCTCATGGGTTAGGCCCACGTAAGTCTCTTGTGAGTTTAAAAGTGGTCTCCCTGATACCCACGAAGCTTGATGGATGTGCCAAGTCCTCTTTACTTGTCAGAACGAGGAAGGGGTAAAAAGATAAGGTACAGGAAACCTTCTTCTTGGTGTTCCTGCAGGAGGCTGGAGGTCTCTGATGCTACAACTCTTCCCTTAGGACATAGACCATTTATCTGCCAAACATTTGAGGTTATGGAACTTCCAAACCAGAATAAGATTCAACAAACAGAGAAAAATCTCTAAAGGAGCTCTGAAGCTCTAAAAAATGAATATCAACCAGATGATACACATCAGCTTTCTGGATCCATGAGTACTAGCAAGGAATTTGAGCAGCTAAGGAATTGACCTCAGACCAATTCCTTATTCTCATGCTTTTCTCTATATTGCTGGACCATTTCATTACTGGTTTCAGAGTTCTACACTCAAGTATTCACATTGTCATTTCTAGGTCAAACAATTACTAAAGTATTTATAAATGTGTATATTATCTAGAAAAATCTGAAAATGTAGTTGTTCCAATTAACACTCTGGTATAATAGCCCCATGTTCAAAATACATCTTGTTTAAATGCACCATTATGAAGATTACTAACACCAGGCCATGGATCAGATAAATACATTATAAAGCATGTATCTCAATGAATATTAGAATGAAAGCATTGCATGACTAAATTTTCTAAAGATTTAGAGGTAGACATATAGCAATTTCATCTAAAATTGCACTTAACTTTATATTTAATTGAGATTGCACTCAGGTTTACTAGTGAATTGCATATGTCCTTAAGGACTTTACTGTGAAAAACACAGAACTTAAGAATGTCGATGTTATTAAATAAATAATGTAGGCCTCTAAGTCAACATAATATATTTATTATATTGGATAATGTTGCACATTTTTATAACTTTTGTCTCCTAAATATTTCATGATATCAGCACTAAATAATTAACAAACTCAATTAAATGGAGATATAGGAAAAGGTCAGTTTTCATCCTGCAACTATAGACTTTATGTTTGTAGATATTTATAAGAATAATAATGCATCTGGTAGTAAATAAAACTAATTTTTAAAATGTTGATTAAAGTTTTTAAAATTAGAGGCTACATTCTTTATTTATATTAAACATACTAGCAATAAAAACCCAAAAATATTAATTATATGGAACTTACAAATGCACTTCTACATGCCTCTTAGATTTAATAGGTTAAAGGAAATTAGTGGTGATGAGGTGCTTTCTATTTCCGTATTTTCTTTTAACCTGGGCTATTTATAAGCAGCTGTAAATTAAAAAATATTTCATCCTCTTAATTGGTTTTGTCCTGATATATAGATACATTTTTGAGATCAATTTTAATGTGTCCCAATGAGACTAAGTCATTTCCTCTAAGTGGAATAATAGAACAAGAAGATAAAAGGGGACATTATCAGAATGGGTTAGGATAAGACAAAGACACTCATGGCTTTTAAGGAAATAAGAGTTTGAATTTTTAGCCTCTTCTTTAATCAGTATATCAAATAGAGAGTTGATTTCTTGAATGAAATCTTATTGACTACTCACTAGAAAAGTTTCTTCTTTCAAATCTGAAAGTTCTGCTTTGTACTGAAGCTGCATTTGTCTGAGCTGGCATTTATTTGTACATGTTGTGAGTTGGCTTTCTTGAGATGGGCTGGAATTCACCCTGACATATCTTCCTTTTGTGAGGATCAATAGATAAAATATAAAATAATTCCTACATAGTAAGAATCAATGAAAATGAAAAGCTTTACCTTTCCTTAAGAATATTATTATTTTGATTTTGCACCTGGAGTTCTAGTTAAAAGAATTTTTTGAGAGTTTAAACTTCTTTGCTCAGTAAAGACAAGCCATATATTAACGTCTGAGATTATAGAACTATATATATAGAGACAGTTATTTTCTCTTTAAAACTAAAAGTGGTACAATTTGATTCAATCTGTTGTAATTGATTTGGCTTGCTTTAAAAAGTATCTGTTGAGCAAGTGTTCTAGATGATTTTTCAGCAGCGACAATTCACAGCTATTAAAGTATTATGACTTCATGGAAAATGATAAAACTGGAAAAACCGCTCATTATTTGAGCTGATACTTTAGCCTTTATTATTATTCTTGCTTGCCATACTGACAGCTTTTAATTGCAATGTGCAAAGAGGACAAAAAAAGGCAGATGTATATCTTGCTATTTGTGTTTGTATTTGTTCTCCAGAAAAATCTCACCTGTATTTACACCAGTGTAAAATTTTGTCATATGGACTTTCATTATTTTAAAATACATGGAATTTATATTTTAAAATTCTCATCACTCTATTATTTAATTTTAAATCATTTTACAGCAAATTATCCTTGATAGAGTTGTAAAATTTTTTAAAAGTTTTTATTTTATTTTTAAAATTAATTTATTATTTTTAGGTGAAAAAAATTGCATATATTTATGTACAAGATGAAGTCTTGAAATATATTTTCATTGTAGAATGGCTAAGTTGAAATAATTAATATGTGCATTACTTCAAATACTTATTTCTTTGTGGTGAGAATACTTAAAAATCTACTCTCTTGGCAATTTTCAAGAAGACAACACATTATTAACCAGAATCACCATATTGTACAGAACATCTCTTAAAATTATTCCTCCTGCCTGACACATTTCATACTTTTTGACTAACATCTCTGCAATCGTCCCTGTTCCACCCCATTCCCTGCTAACCACCATTCTACTCTTACATCTCAGAGTTCAGCTTCTTTAGATTCTACATATGTGAGATCATGCAGTGTTCATGTTTCTGCGCCTTGCTTATTTCATTCAACATAAAGTCCTCCAGGTTAATTTGTATTGTCACATATGACAGGATTTTTTTCTTTTCTAGGACTGAAGAGTATTCTACTGTGTGTGTGTGTATACACAGTAGAATACATATATATATAGATATAGATATATATTTATGTATCTATTTATATACATATATACCACATCTTTTTATTCATGCATTGATGGACATGTAGGTTGATTCTACATCTTGACTATTGTCAGTAACACTGTAATGATCATGGGAGTTCAGATATCTCTTCAAAATACCAATTTCATTTCCTTTTAACATATACCCAGTATTGAGATGGATGGATCAAATGGTTGTTCTAAGTTTTTGAGGAACGTTCATATTGATTCCATAATGCCTGTACTAATTTGCATTCCCACAAACCATGTGAAAGGAATCCTTTTTCTCCACATTCCCATCAATACTTATCTTTCATATTTTTAATAAGACTAATCCTAACAGGTGTGAGGTAATATTTCATTGTGGTTTCAATCTGCATTTACCTGATGATTAGTGATGTTGAGCATTTATTCACGTACCTGTTGGACACTGTTATGTTTTTCTCTGAGAAATGTCTATGCAGGTATTTGCTCATTGGGTTATTAATTGTGTTATTTGTTTTCTTGCCATTGAGTTGTTTGAATTTATTATAGACTTGGGATATTAATCTCTTATCAGATGAATAGTTTGTATATATTTTCTCCCATTACATAGGTTGTTCCTTTACTCTGTTGTGTCTCAGTTACAGATTTGTGTATGCTGAACTACCCTTGCATTCCTAACGTAAATTCCAATTGGTCATGGAGAATGATTCCTTAAATTTGCTGTTGAATTAGAATTGCTAGCATTTTGTTGAGGATTTTTTGCCTCTATATTGATCAGGGATATTGGCCTATAATTTCCTTTTCTTTTATTATTATTATTATTATTATTATTATTATTATTATTATTATTATTTTATTTTATTTATTTATTTTTTTTAGATGGAGTCTCGCACTGTTGCCCAGGCTGGAGTGCAGTGGCGCGATCTCAGCTCACTGCAAGCTCAGCCTCCTGGATTCAGTTTTCCCTGATCTTTAATTTTTTGCAAACGCTTGAGAAAGATGGGAATTATTTTTTCTTCAAATGTTTGATAAAATTCAGCAGTGAAGCCATCAGGTCCTGGCCTTTTCTTTGATGGGAGAGTTTTAATAAATGATTCAATTGCCTTATTCCTTATTGGCTTATTCAGATTATTTATTTCTTTATGATTTCATCCCGGTAGGTCGTATGTGTCTAGAAACTTATCCATTTCTTTTAGGTTATCCAATTAGTTGGCATATAGTTGTTCATAATAGTCTCTTATTATCTCTTATATTAATGTGGTATCAGCTGTAATGTCTCTGCTTTAATTTATTATTTTATTTATTTGAGTCTTCTCTTTTTTTTCCTTAGTCTAGCTAAAGGTTTGTCTTGGTTTTGTTGATTATTTTCTATTTCATTTATTTTTGTTCTGGTATTTATTATTTTTTTCTCCTCCACTAATGTTGGGCTTTGTTTTCTTTCTCTAGTTTCTTGAGGTATAATATTATTTATTTAACATTTTATTATTTTTTGGTATATGCATTTATTGCTTTAAACTTACCTCTTAGAGATGTCTTTTCTGTATTCTATAAATTTTTGTATATTTTATTTTCATTTTTGCTTGTCTCAGGATATTTTTTAATTTCCCTATTTTTTTTCTTTGACCCATGGATTGTTTATATTGTTTAATTTCAATGTGAATTTTCTAAAATTTCTTCTGTTACTGATTTCTAGTTTTATTCCATTGTGCTAAGAAAAATTAGTCAATATAATTCAGTTTTCTTAAGTTTTTGAGTTTTTTTTTTTTTGGTAGCCTAAAGTATAATCTATTCTGGAGAATGTTTCATGTGTGCTTGAGAAGAATGTATGTTTTACTGCTATAGGGTGAAATATTCTGTATATGTCTGTGAGGTCCGCTTGAACTAAAGTGTAGTTTAAGTCCAATGTTTCCTGATTGATTTTCTGTTTGGATGATCTATCCATTGCTGAAAACAGGTTATTGAAGTCCGTGACTATTTTTACATGACAGTCTAGCTCTCCACATCTATTAATATTTGCTTTATATATTTACATGCTCTGATAATTGGATGTATATATGTATTTATAATTGTTATATCATTGTGCTGAACTGACTCCTTTATCATTATACAATGACCTTCTGTATCTTTTTTTTCTTTTTTTATACTGTTTTTGACTTAAAGCTTATTTTATCTGGCATAAGCATGTGTACCACTGCTATCTTTTTGTTTCTGTTTGCATGGGAAATCTTTTTCCATTCTTTGCCTTTTAGTTCATATTTGCTCTTAAAGATGAAATGAGTCTCAACTTATTGTTGGGTCTTTTTTTATATATATTCAGCAATGCTATATTTTCTGATGGAAAATTTAATCAATGTATTTTCAAGGCAATTATTAATGAGTAAGACCTTACTACTGTCATTTTGTTAATTAATTTCTGATAGTTTTATAGATTCTTTTCTCTTTTTTAGAAATCTTGCTGTCTTCCTTTGTGATTAGATGATTTTCTTTAGTGGTGTGTTTTGAATTCTTAATTTTAACTGCTGTGTATCTACTATAGGTTTTTGCTTTGAGGTTACCACAAGGCTTACATAAGACACCTTATAGTTGTAACAGGATATATTAAGCCAAGAATAACTTAATTTTTATCACATACAATAGCTCTATACTTCTACTCCATCCCCCATTATATGATTTGATATCATAATTTACATCTTATTAAATTGTGTGTCCCTTAACAAATATTGTAGCTATTATTACTTTTAATGGTTTTATCTTTTAACCTTCATATTGAAAATTTAAGTGATTTACATACCATCATTACAGTATTGGATTATTCTGAATTATTATTCATTATTTGACTGTGCACTTACTTTTACCAGTGAGTTGTAAACTTTCACTTGTTTTCCTGTTATTAGAGTCTTTTTCTTTAAGTGGGAAGAATTCCTTTCAGCATTTCTTGTAAGACAGATCTGATAATGATGAACACTCAGATTTTGTTCCTCTGGAAAAGTCTTCATGTATGTCTTCTTCATTTCTGAAGCACAGCTTTTGCCACATACTCTTTATTGTCAGTATTTTCCCTCAGTGCTTTGAGTATGTCATGCTACTCTCTTCTGGTCTGTGGCATTTTTGCTGAGGAATTAGGTGACAGTCTTATTGAAAATCCCTTATATCTGAATTAGTTCTTTTCTCTTTATACTTCCAGGATCCTCTCTTTATCTTTAATTTTTGACAGTTCAATTAATATATCTTGGTGTAGTCTTGTTTGGATTGAATTTGATTGGAGACCTCCACCTTCTTGTACCTGGATATTTATGTTGCTTCGGATTTGGAGAATGTATGCTATTGCTTCTTTAAATAAAGTTGTGAAGCTTTCTACCCTTTGTTTCTTCTCTCCTTCTTGAACTCTTACAACTTGAAAATTTGTCCTTTGAATATTTTTCCATAAGTCCTAAAAATTTCTAAAAATAAATTTCTTTATTCCTTTTTATTTGTTTTATTTTTTTCTCTTCTGACTGTATATTTTCAAATAACTTGTCTTCAAATTCATGTATAAATCTTTTTTCTACTTGATCAATTCTGTTACTGATATTTTCTCTGGTGGTTTTTATTTCGTTCACTCTAATTTTCTGCCCCAGAAATTCTGTTTGATTTTTGTTGTTGTTGTTGTTGTTTGTTTGTTTTAAAATTTCAATCTGTCTGTTAAATATCTCTTTTGGTAATTTTGTAATTTGGTAATTTTGGTAATTTGGTAAATATCTCTTTTTGGTAATTTATTGTTTTCCTGATTCCATTGAATTGTTTCCCTGTATCCTATGGAAGTTTAGTGAGCATTTTTTAATGAGTTATTTTGAATTATTTGTCAGGCAGTTTGTATCTTTGGATCAACTTAGAGATTATTATATGCTTTGGGGAGTGCTATGTCTATTTGACTTTCCTTGTTTCTTGTTGCTTTACGTTAATGTCTATGTATTGGAAGAATTAAGGATTTATTCTAGTCCTTGAAGACTGGCTTCGTTTAAGAATGTCTTAATGTCTTACATCAAGCAGCTCTTCTAGAGATTCTAAGCAGGCTGTCTGGGGTGGCCCATGGGCAGCCTTGCTGCTGCAGTCATCAGGAAGGCTAGCCTGGTACATGGGTCAGCAGGTGAGTAGGACCAGAGCTAGTGTACAGAGTTAGGTGTGGATCCTGGATCTACTGGTATGGACATGTGGATTGGGTCCATATGGTGTTCCTAGGGCTGGGTCCATGATGGCAGACCTGGAGCCTGTATCTGTGGAAGCCAGAATGAAGCCTGGCCTCACAGGAGCTGACCTAGTATTGGGATGGGACATGAGCCTGAGTCAGCAGGAGCTAGGCATGTGCTGGGATGGACCGGATCCTGAGTCCATAGGACTGTCCTGAAGCTACTGGGCTTGCCTGGAGCCTGGGGGACTCAATTGGATCCTGGGTTTGCTTAAGCTAGCCTGGAGGATGGGTATAAAGGTGCTGACCTAAAGGCTAGGTACACAAGGGTTGGCCTGAGTCCCTGTGTTGTGAAAGTTGGCCTACAAAATGAGTCCACAGGGACTGTCATGGGTTTTGAGTTTATGGAGGTTTGTCCATTGCTGGAGTCTACTGGGATGAGCCTTGGTCTGCTGAGCAGGTATGGAACCTGAGTCTGGGGAAGTGTGGGGCCATAGAGGTCAGACTGAAGGGTAGGGTTATGGGGACTAGCCTAGTACAGGAAGGCCTGGAGCTTTTGTCCATGGGTGTCTGAGGCCAAGAGAGTTAACCTGGAGCTGGGGCAGGACTGATTTCTGGGCTATGTGGACTGACCTGACTCTGGGCTGTTCTGAAATTTCTGGTGGGCCTGGAGCCTAGGACCACAGGGGATCACTTGGGGCTGGGCAGACCTAGAGCTTGTATCTTCAGGGGGTGGTTTAGAAGCTGGGTCTATAAGCACTGACCTGATGAATAGGACTGTGGGGCTTGGTTTGTGCTGAGGTGTGCCTGAAGCTTGGTACCTTGGGGCTAGTCTGGTGTTGAGGGCAATCTGAAGCCTAGGACCACCAGGGCTGGCTTAGCTCTGGGGCCAACCTGGCAGGCCTGGGGCCTCAGTATTCAGGGACTCAATTGGCACTGGGACGGGCCCAAAGCCCAGGGCAACTGGGTGGGCCCCAGTGACGTTGGGCTTTGGGCCCATTCCAGTGCCAGTTGAGTCCCCACATCAAGGCAGGTCCAGAGGCCAAGTCTGCTGGGCAAGCCTAGAGTCTAAGGCTGTGGGATCCCACTTTGTGCCAAGGCAGGCTTGGAGGTTCAATCTTCAGGTGCTAACCTGGAATCCGGGGCTGTAGGGACCTTTCTGGCAGTGAGTTTTACTGGGGCAGGCCTGGTTTTGGAGTCCAGGGCAAAGTCCAGTACTCACTTTCCTCTCTTTCCCCTAAGTTGAGGGTATTTCTCCATACTGTACTTCCTGGGGTTGGGAAAGGGATGTTGCAGGTAATGTAAAACTGACAGTCCTTCCTACCCTCTTCCATGTGTCTTTTAATATTTCTGTGCTACAGTCAGGTACTGTGATCTCTCACCTGGTTTCCTTAGTTTTTATGAAGATACTTTTGCACATGGATAGTTGTTTTGATGGATGTTTCTGTAAGTGAATAAATGCTGAAAAGTCATATTCCACCACCTTGCTGATGTCGGTCCTGAAAATTAATTTAACGTACTCAAAATGTTTTCCCTATAAAAGAATAGAAGTAATAATTAAAACTGGCGCTAGAACCATATATGTAATAATTATTGGGTAACAGTAACATTTAAGTAGTTTTATGGATATGACTTAATAACATTGTAGCAGTGTAACATTAAATCACAACACTAAATGTTTTGGATGTGTAACATTAAGGAACATAGTTACAAAAATTCTTACCAGCCATTACAGTGGCGAATCAATAGCAATATTAAACATAACTTTATGATAACACATAGAAAGACGAACATAGAATCATGGAATTATGATTACTTACTATGGAATTAATATTTACTACAGATAGAAAGAAACTAGGCAGATTAAAAACTGTTACTAAAGATTTTTCCAAGCATAAATTCTTAACTAAGTGTAGAATGATTAGGCTGAGTTCAAGGACAGCTTTCAAATGTAGTTGTATGTTTCTTTGTTAATTTACATTTAAAAATCTCAAATCTGGCTGGGCGCCATGGCTCACGCCTGTAATCCCAGCACTTTGGGAGACTGAGGTGGGTGGATTGCGAGGTCAGGGGATCAAGACCATCCAGGCTAACATGGTGAAACACTGTCTCTACTAAAAATACAAAAAATTAGCTGGGAGTGGTGGTGAGCGCTTGTATTCCCAGCTACTCAGGAGGCTGAGGCAGGAGAATGGTGTGAACCTGAGATGTGGAGCTTGCAGTGAGTCCAGATCATGCCACTGCACTCCAGCCTGGGTGACAGAGTGAGACTCCATCTCAAAAAACAAAAAAAAAAAAAAACAGAAAAACCCCTCAAGTCCAGATGTCTAAGAATACCTGTGTCCAAAATGTATTTCGCTCTCTTAATCACAGAGGTTAAATAAAGTTGGATTATTTTAGGTAGTTTTTTTCCTGCAAAGAATTTCTACTTAATTTAAAAGAGTGCAAGTTAGACATTAGTGCATTTTTACTTAGAGTTAGCGTAAGCTCTTAAGGCTATAATTGGAGAGGGAAATTATATTTATTTTGTTTGGCCATAATTTTGTTAAGATCTGTTAGCAAGTCTGAGAATTCATTAAAAACAGAGCTAAAATTGATGTAGACATGTACTGTGGTTATTTAGATGAATTCTATATCCTCACCATATGCATATGGATCAAACCTGAAGATACAGAAAAACATTCTTATAACAATCTGATTGAAATCCTTGAAAGATTGCTGGAAGGCTTTTTCATTATTAAACACATGGGTTTGTCATAATGCAATTCATTTCATATATCCACTAAGAGCAAGCAATAAATAACCATATAGAACAAAATACAGTTGCATATTTTGTGCTTTTTTTTAATCTGAGAAAAAAATGCAATTCTGAAACATGAAATTATCTAATGCTTATTACATGGCTATTTAGCATGCTTTTAATGGCAACTACTAGCAAGTAAATACCATACCTGACAGGGTACAAGCCATCCCAGTGCCTAAGATAAAACTGGAATTTAATGTGTTAACATTTTTCCATAAAGTTTGACCTATGCTCCCTTATGTGTTGCCTCTGCTTAACAGCTGTTGTCACCACCAAGCAGTGCCTTGTCTCCCACCACTACTCTGGATTTGCGTGACTGTCACTGGCAAAGCAAATATGTTTTCAGTGAGGCTCCCATCCCAGCTTCTCCCTAGAGACTTACTAGTCAAAAAATATTTGTAATTTAGAAGGAAGTCAACTACAGCCAGCTGTTTCAAAACGAAACAAGGAAAGATGTCATAGGTTGGGCATTTCTGAGAAATACAGAGTGTACAAATCATGCAAAGCCACCCCCAAGGTTTATACCTCTCCCCACCCCCATCATTGATTCTTCCCATTTTTATTCTCTATGTAGCACATAAGTTTTAAAACATGAAGTATGGTAAGTAGTAAAAGTAAATTGGACGCTAGATTCATCTCTGCTCTTTTAATTTTGTTTACTTTTCACCAAAAATATACACATAATTGTACAGCTTCCTGACTTATCACTTACTGAAAACATCCATGTAACCAGCATTCCAATAAAGGAATAGGACATTGTCAGTTCATAATCTCATTTGAAGTTTATAGTGATGATGCCCCAAATGTAATCACTAGCCTGACATTTAACAGCAGAGATTTGTATCACCTGTTTTTGTACTTCTTGTAAGTATAATCATATCAGAGTCCTTGTTTTGTCTATCTTCTGTTGTTTACTAATACATTTGTGAGATTCATCCACTTTATTGCATATAGTTATAGATAATTCATCTTGATTGCTGTATTCACTGTGCAGTTATCAAAATTCTTATATTTAGTATCAGTATGCAAAATGAAAAATGAAATGAATAAACAATGCCATTCACAATAATATAAGAAACATTCATTTTAGGAATAAATCTAATAAAACAGTGAAAAACCTCTAGACACTACAAAGCATTACTGAGAGAATTTTAAGATCTAAATAAAAGGTTGAAAATACATATTAATAGATTGAGAGAGACCAGGCACAATGGCTCACACCTGTAATCACAGCCCTTTGGGAGGCCAAGGTGGGAGGACCACTTAAGCCTAGGCAAAATAGTGAGACCCTATCTCAAAAAAAAAAAAAAATTAGAAACTAGCCAGGTGTGGTGGCATACACCTGTGGTTTCAGCTACCCAGGAGGCTGAGGTGGGAGGACCACTTGAGCCTAGGGGGATTGAGGCTGCCATGAGCAATGATCATGCCACTACACTGCAGGGTGGGTGGCAGAGCAAGTCCCTCTCTCAAAAACAAACAAACAAAAAAATAGATTGAATTCTTAATATTGCATAGATATAAATCCTCTTCAAATTTATATATATGTACTACACATGTATATATACACCCACATAATTTATAAAGAGATATAATACAATCCTAATAAAAAAGCCCAGCGGGATATATTTGCATAAATAACAAGCTGATTCTAAAATTTATACCAAAATTTAAAAGGTACTGAAATGCAAAAAGAAAAAAATTCAGACAGAACAAATATAGGAGATTTATATTACCAATATGAATACTTATTATTTAGCAATAATATTTAAGACAAAGTGGTTTTGAAGCAACATTAGGTGTACTAAAGAATGAAACAGAATATAGAGTCGAGAAAAATACTTTTACAGATCACTCTTCTAATTTGTAACAAAGAAAATACTGTAGTTCCATGGGGAAAATGGTTGTCTTTTCAATAAAAAGTTGGATTATTTTGATAAACGTAAAACTGAACCCTACTTCACATTGCAAATCTAAATGTGAAAGATAGCACAACAAAAAATTTTAAGAAGAAAATAAGAGAATATATTTATTACTTTGAAGTACGAAAAGGGAAAAACTGATTAATTAGACTATATGGAAATTTTTAATTTCTGTTTTTCAAAAGCACCAATAAGAGAGAGTATATGGTATTCTGATATTGGACAAAAAGTATTGCAAGACTGTGATCCCTAAGAATGGAAAAATAAGCCATATACGTTCTAAAATTACTCTACGTTTCTTCCTGGAGATGCTTTCCAAACCATAAAACAGAGAACGATATTTGAAAACAAATAACAACATAATTGCTGAGCTGAGGAGAGAAAAATGAGAGTTCACAGAGGCTGGACAGCTGGAATTTGCAATCTGAATACCAGAAGGAAGAGAGCATTTCAAACAAAGAGCTACATAATTTTTTTTGATCCCCTAGAAGATTTTGCTCAATACTAAGTTATGCATCTGTAGGGTGAGACTTCATAATGACTGGCAAAAAGTGACTACTGGAAGTTATAATATGAATAACTACCAGAACTTTCATGGGTCTAAGAATGAAAGGGTACACACTGGCTCAAATGGAAAGACCTCTTTGAACACTAGACATCCATTACATACCCTATATTAGTGGTAGGGTTAAACTATCTGTAACAACTATGCTGAGCACACCCTAAAATCATAAAAAGCAAACTATTAAAATGATTAAGCTGCTCTTCAAGTATATTAACTGCCTGCTGGAACAAAGGTCAACCATTATTAAGGGAAATAACAACAGGGAGACTCTCAACAATTCCACCTTTACAATGCTTATCCTATGGTTAAAAAAAGATAAAGGTAGGCAAAGGACAAAAAACTTTGTCTCATAACCAGAAGAAAAAAAAAGAATACAAATAGACCCAAAAGTGACGGAGATGATGAAATTTGAGAAAGGTCCGCAGAACTATTTTAAATGTGTTCAAAGTTTATAAAGAATATTTAAATTCAATGAAGAAAGAAATGGAAACTGTTAAAACGAATCAAATGGAGCTTTCAGATTCTAAATATGCAATATCTTACATGCAAAAATAAATAAATAAAAGAAACATTAGAAAGAGTTTGCAACAGATTATAAAGAAAGGTCTGTGAACTGTATGGAAGGAAAATAGAAAATATCCAAACTGAAGCACAGAGAGAAAAGTAAACAAAGTCTGGAAAAGAAGAGAAGGAGGCCAGGCACAGCGGCTCATGCCTGTAATCCCAGGACTTTGGGAGGCAGAGGTAGGCAGACCACTTGAGGTCAGGAGTTCAAGACAAGCCTGGCCAACATGGCAAAAACCCATCTCTACTAAAAATACAAGAATTATCCAGGCGCGTTGGTGGGGGCCTGTAGTCCCAGCTACTCAGGAGGCTGAGGTGGGAGGATCAGCTGAGGCTTCAGTGAGCCCTAATCACACCAATGCACTCCAGCCTGGGTGACAGAACAAGACCAAGTTCTCAAAAAAGAAAAAAGAGGAGAGAGAGAGAGAGAGAGAGGAGAGAGAGAGAGAGAGAAAGAAAAAGAAAGAAAGAACTAATCCTCCATAAATAATGAGACAATATATATAAGACAACTAGTCTAATGTAAATATTATTAGTATAATTGGAGTCCAAAAAATAGGAGAAGTGGAAGCAAAAGCAATATTTAAAAAATACTAGCTAAGAGTTTTCCAAATTGAATAAAAAATATAAATGCACAGATCAAAGGAGCACAACAAAACACAGGCAGGATAATAAAATAAATCAAATCCAAAGCACATTATACTCACATTTCAGAAAAGTAACCATAGAGTGGCAATATTAAATGCCACCAGAAGAAAGAACACCTTATATACACTGTAAAAAAATTACTACTGCCTTCCCATCAGAAACAATGCAAAGCAAACCAACAACAGAAAACACAAACACACACACACACACACACACACACACAAAAACCCCAAAATAGTGAAGTGACATCTTTAAATAAATAAGAGGAAAAAAAACCCTAAAATTTTATATCTGGAAAAAAATTTCAAAAATTGAATGCCAAATAGACATTTTAATTCAAGCAAAGATGAAAAAAATTGTCAGCAGCTGGCTTGTACTACAAGAAATATAAAAATGATAGTTGGGGCTGAAGGAGAATGACATCAGATTGAAATTCACAACTACACAGAACAATAAATAGTACTAGATATATGTGATCATAAAATAATTAATTCATTTAAAATTATTTTTAAAAGATAAATATTCAAAGAAAAATAATTTTTCCTATAAGCTTTCTAATACATGTAAAAATAAATTATATTACAATAATAATGCAAACAAGAAGAGAGAAAGAATAATGCTCATATAAATTAAGATATAGTATAGTTTTATTTAAAGGCAGACTATGGTAGGTTAATATTGTATGGAGCAACTACTGTTTTTTAATAAAATAAAATTAATAAAGAAGAGATATAGTTTAAAGGCCAAAATTAACAAAAACTCAATATTTTAAAAAGTGTGAAATGACTGAAGAGGTTGTACATGATGGACAAGGGTAAATATGAGACAGGAGAGATGCATGGTATCAGATCATGAAGAGTCTTAGCAGACATGCTAATGTATAGACCATTAATGTAATGGGAAGTCACTCACTGAAATCTTTCAGCAAAGAGATTTTTATTTTAGAAAAAGCATTCTGACAGCAATGCAGAGTGCATTATTATGTAACATATTTAAAACAGATGATGCCAGGGGAGAGGCTAAGAGGAGGGCATTACACAATTGAGTATGAAGACTAATGGCAATATACTATATTTTCTGAGGTGGCAATATAGCTATATAAATTTGTAAAAACCATTCAACTATACCCCCTTTAAAAGGGGTAAAATTTACTATTTTAAATTGTGTCTTAATAAACTTAAATTAGAAAGAGAAAGATGTAAGAAGTCTGGGGGGGCAGGAAAACATTTGCAATAATGTAGAAGAGAAATGACAAAAGTCAAATTTAAGACAGTGGCCTACAGGGAAAAGGAGAGTTCAGATGGCAAAGATATTTACAAGAAGGAAAGGACAAGACATGGTGAATTACCGGATGTAAAACATAAGGAATATCTCATTCAATGTTTCTTATGAAGGAAGCTGGGTGCATTGCAGATATCTTTAGCCAAAATAGGAAATTCTGGCTTCAACATTTGTGGGGACAATTGAATGAATAAATCTAGGGGTGAAACAGTGGTTATAAGGAGGAAAAAACACATTTAGAGAGTAAAAAATATATATATATTTGTTGAATTTGAGATACTATTAAGATCACAAGTTGGAAATTTATATCTGGTGGTTAAATAAAGAGGTCTAGTTGTTTGGAGTGAGGCCTTCACTAATAATTGGAATTTCAGAGTCATCAGGGTCTCTCACTCAGTCGCTGTACCATTCACACTGTTCCTGCTGTAGTTCAACATCACTCACGTGATTGTAATCCTCTTCCACCCTGTTTTTTCTGAACTCCAATCCATCCTTAATGTTGCTGTTAGTTGTGTCTTCCTTCTATTCAGAATAGATTGTGTCACTATTTCATAAACCATTTCCTTGTTACCTATTACATTTAAAATTGCATTGAGATTATTTCATCATGTACATAAGGCGCTAGCATCATGACCCGAGCCTATCTTTTCACGTGATTTTCCACTAACCCTGTATTTGTGGTCCGCATTCTCTGGTTGAATACAATCATACTATGTTCCCGGACACAGCCTACATTTTACAATCTCCCTGCCTTTTCCACACTGTTTTCTACTCTGGAAATATCTTCTTTCTTGTTTTCTGCAGGTGTAAGTCTTCCAAACTCCACTACCACTTTCTTAGCAAATTAATGCACACTTGTGCAGATATAATACATTTCTTATCATTAACAAGTGAATAGAGTTACCGTCTATCCTTCAAAACCTATTGGCTTGTATTTTGCAGTATTTTTCAAGTTGTATTGGGCTATATAAAAAGTATTCTTTTGATTCCACATAAAAGCCCATTTTGCAGAAGGGTAAACTAAAATTCAATACCCTGGGTGATTGCATTGAATCAATAAAAAGCTAATGATTGGTAAGACTTGTGCTTCACAGTGTTCTGGATTCAAATCCTGAGCTTTGCCTCCATGCCTTTGTCTTTTTATAAAAGCTGCATTCACCCTTGTGATTTATTTCCATCTTCTCATCCCATTAGTTTAGAATCTCCTTGTGAGTAATTACAGTGCCTCATTTATCTCTATGTACTTGGCCTTGCTTAATGTGGTGCTCAATACCTGTATGTTTTTGGTATATTCGTTGTTGAAAGGATGTGAAAGAGATTGTGCAAATAAAAATTTTTTTTAGAGATTCATTTTAAAATTTGCCAATATAAAATGGTACTGCTACCACAGTTTTCATATTTAATGAGAAAACAAACTGATGATTGTCACCTTTAATAAAATAGTTCAAGTTACTTTCTCTAGTGTTGGATTAATATTAATGTTACCCTTTTGATAGAATGCATAATAATAGTAGCAATAGGGACATTAGAATTATTACTTATGTGACTTCTGAAAAAATTTACTTTGGAATGTACAATTGTTGCTAGATTTAAAAGTGGTACAGTGAATAAAAGGTTTCAGTGAGAGATGAAAAACTATCAAGTTCAAACTACATCATCAAATCTATCTATCTATCTATCTATCATCTATCTATACAAACTGAGGTCTACTCGGGGTAAACTGAAGTTTTGATCTTCAATTTCTGCTTTATTCTCCCTTTAAATGAAATGGTCTTGAAGGATAAAATTTTACATTAATACAGATTCTTATGCAAGGAACTTTATCATACCTTTGGAGATGATGGACACATAATTCGATGTCAGAGACATTCTTTAAGCATATGAAATTTTATATTATCAGTGTATAGCACAAATATCTGTTGTAACGCAGATGATCTAGCTCAGTTTGTGTGGTTTTGTCACATCACTAGAAAATTTGGACCTAAACACGAGCCATCAGTAATGTCTGGTGATGTGGTGTTTGGGTGGCTCTAACTACAGAACAAAAATATTTTTGTGACTTAGTGTGCCACTGTGGTAATTAGGCTGTGATTTCTCCAAAAGGAGGATAAAAATGCGTTATGCTAATGCTTCACTTATCTATGACCTAGAATTCCACTTTAAAACGTATTTTAGCTACGGAACCATTTTCAGTTTATATATACAGAGCCACTCTCTCCTTCTGCCTGCCACCTTCTGCTAGCACTTCAGTCTGAGCAAACCTTGAGTACCTTCCAGTCTAAGTTTCATGCTGGCCAGAATCTGCCACCCCTTCAG
The DNA here is from genome assembly GCF_000001405.40 of Homo sapiens. Lineage (NCBI taxonomy): Eukaryota > Metazoa > Chordata > Mammalia > Primates > Hominidae > Homo > Homo sapiens. The sequence continues at coordinate 84,739,632 of NC_000007.14, read as the reverse complement.
TCTTCCTGTGTTAACTCTGAGAGCAGAGAAATTTTTCCCTTTTCTCACATCCAAAGACTGCTATATGTCCTAGTACAGACATGTTACTATTTCTCCCAAGAGAGGAACTCTTGGGGGGCTTTCAAAGGGGTTCTAAAATTATCACTAATTTAAAATTATCACTAATACTACTTAAAGTCCTAAAGAAACTACTTAGTAACTCTCAGCTTTTGTTTCTTCATATGGAAAAAAATGTCTCTATAAAAATATTCAATAACTCCATAGATATTAGGATCATATAATAAAAGATGATAGAAAAGATCTAAGCAAAACATAAATCTCTGAGTTATTTTAAAATGCTTCCTAATTTAATAATAACAACAGTAGGGCTAGGGAAAAACAGAATATGTTAAGTAATTCAGAAGACCTTCTGCTTAAATGCAAAATGCACTTTACACAGGATTTTACAAAATAATGTCAGCCCACCACTTGCAGTTCTATGTAAGAGGGAAATTTAATTATTATACATTTAAAAAAGAGATTAGAAATGGTAAATTGGGTATGTTTGGCAACCAGGATGCTTATGGAGTAGGCTTTGTTGAAAAAAAAAATGATACCGCAGTCGGTTCGGCTTCTATAACAGAATACCATAAACCAGGTGGCTTATAAACAAAAATTTCCCAGGTTCTGGAGGCTGGAAGTTTGGGATAAGGGTGCCAGCATGGCTGAGTTCTGGTGAGGGTCCTCTTTCAGTTTACAAACTTCCAACCTTTTTTTGTGTCCTTTCATGGTGGAAGGAGGGCTAGCAAACTTTTCAGTTTTTATTTTATTTTATTTTATTTTTATTTTTATTTATTTATTTATTTATTTATTTATTTATTTATTTATTTATTTATTTTTTAGCGCAGGCTGGAGTGCAGTGGCTGGCGTGATCTCGGCTCACTGCAACTTCTGACTCCCTGGTTCAAGCGATTCTCCTGACTCAGCCTCCCGAGTAGCTGGGATTACAGACACGCACCACTATGCCCAGCTAATTTTTGTATTTTTAGTAGAGAGGGGGTTTCACCATGTTGGCCAGGATGGTCTCCATCTCCTGACCTTGTGATCCGCCCACCTCCGCCTCCCAAAGTACTGGAATTACAGGCGTGAGCCACCGCACCTGGCCTCAGAGTCTCTTTTATAAGGGCACTGATCTCATTCATGAAGGCTTTACCCTCATGATCTAAAAACCTCTCAATGGACCCAACTCCTAATATCCTCACACTGGGGCTTAAGATTTCATATTATGAATTTTGGGGTGACACAAAGATGTAGTTCGTGCTAGATGAGTTTTTCTCTGTATATAATTATTTTCCTGTCTTCCAACTGTGCTGAACAGTAAATAAAATGTTTTTCAATTTCTCAGTAGAATTTCTGTATAGCATTGATAACGATGGTGATGTCAATGGCAATTTACTTCTAGAAACATGTAGGCATGAAAATGATGACTTGAAATGACAAAATATTTATAACATACCCTAAAATGGCTTGCAGTTTCTTAATGGTTGTATTATTATTCAAAATTTCAAAGTAGTTTCAATTTAGGATCATCAATCATGAAACATTTTAAAAATTAATTTTTGCTTTTCCTCACATAAATCAGTTTCATTTCCATGATAGCAATAAACTAAAAAAAGTCATGATTGAAAATTAAAATGGTCATAAAAGCATGTTAATTTGCATAGGTTGTGCTATCAAAAATTGTTCTCCATCTTTATCTTGTCAATACCAAATATGTTTAATGAAACAGATAATACAACTTCTGATGTATCACTTTTAAACTAGAGGTAAAGTAGAATAGCTTCCTTAAATATAAACAACAAAAAAGGAGTTAGCGTGTAGATTACTCAAGATTCCATTATATATGTACCTAAATTTCCTCACCAAAACCAAAACCTCACCTAGTGCAATTTTTTTTGTATTACCATATTCCAATAAAAGAAACCAGGGATTCCTGAATTAATGTCTGATTTAAGGGGAAGAACATACTCAAGATGATCCTGATGGAGCATCTTGTAGTCCCAACAAACATAGCAGTGACGTATACACACAGGGTATATGTCAAAGGGATACAGAAGCTACTTAAAAAACTAACAGTAGCCAAAACAAGAAAAATGGTTGGATTATAATTTAAAGTATAAAATTAATATCTATGTGACCATACTGATATAATGTAATGACTGAAGAAATAAAGAAATGAGAATTAAAGTAATCTTCCATATAAAGGAATTCCAAATATTTTATGTAAATATTCTGCCCTCAATAGGGAGCTAGAATATAACTCCCTACTCCTTAAGTGTGATATGTGATGACTGACTCCCAAAAAGTACAAATGGAAAGGGCCGGGAAGAGTAACTTTACAGTGCAGAAAACTGACAGACACCTCCTCAGCCTTGTAGGTGATCAAGGTGAAGATCAACAGTGATAAGTGATATTGATAAGATGTACTCTTGATATGATTTGGTAGGAATGACAGTTTAACCCTGTTGTCTTTCCTCTTGAAACTGTAACCCCAGTCTAGTCATCAAAAGACTATGAAACAAACTGCAGTTGAGGTATATTCTACAAAGTATCTAAGCAGTACTGAACGCTACTGTCAAAGTTATCAAAACCAAGAAAACAGTCTAAGAAACTGTCACAGCCAAGAGGCGCCTAAAGAGACATGTTAACTAAATCCAATATGGTATCCTAGATGAGATTCTGAAATGAAAAAAACAAAAGGGCATTAGGTTAAAAACTGTAAAAATTAGAAAAAAAATATGGACTTTAGTTAATAATAACATATCAATATTGGTTCATTAATTGTAAGACATATTCCATAATTATTTAAGATATAAATAATAGGAGAAACAATATGAGATACATGAAAACTCTCTATATTATCTTTGTAATTTTTCTGTAAATCTGAAACTATTCTAAAACTAAAACTTTATTAGAAAAATAGAAATACTAAAAGGTACATTAAATCAAATTCTACTTACATACATTCTACACCATATATATGTGTATGTATATATATACATGCATATACATGTATACATATATATGTATATATGTGTGTATACATGTACACATATATATAATGCATATACATGATGTATACACTTCAGACAGTGAATTTTCATCTATGTCCATTTATTTAACTTTACTTTCTTTAACATTTTAGAGACAGAATCATAGAGGATTGTACTATGATTTTAAAGACTGGAAAAGCAGGCATTCCTTTGTGTCTCTTTTTACAGACTTTTATATTATTTTGTTTCAAAATTAGCTATTGGAACTTGTCTGGTCATTGTAGGAATAGGATGAGAAATAGCTTCTATTTTAGTAGCTTATTTTATTTAGAGCCAGTTACCATGTACTTTAGAATTCACTTGAAAATAAATCTATGTCTTAAGCCTTCACACTGTAGACAGCCAACAAAAAGAAATGAGTGGGTATATTTAAACTTCAACACAGTGCACTTTGGTGCTTAGGTGATGGAAGAATGCTATAGTTGGGACGGGGGAAGAATGCTCTCCAGATGCTGTTTCATTTCCACCTTGCATTTTTAAAAAATCACCATATGGTATAAGCAAATGGAAACACTAACTGGATAGGTCAGAGTGTTATTATTACTTTACCTAGAGGTAATCTTTAGTGATTAGTGCCTCATGGTTTTTACTATGTAATGAAAGCAGATGTTAAACAAACACTAAAGTCACTAAGCAGCATATGCAATTTCAAAGAGATCTGTGTGGTTCATACACTTCCCATTCTACTTTATGCATACGTATATGCATGTATATATATTCATACATCCACTGAAGAAAGTGAATTTTCCTCTGTGTTCATTAACTTTACTTTCTTTAACATATTAGAGACAGACTTATGGAGGATTGTACTAACATTGTGAAGATTGGAAAAATAGACATCCCTTTGTGTCTCTTTTTAAAGACTTTATTTGAGCCAGCCGGTTGCCAATTATTTTGCTATTTAAGGAAATCATGTTGCTAAAACAGAAGTCTCTCTTAAATCAATTTCTTTAGTAACTCCAGCTCAATGAAAACATCAAAGTATCTAAATGCAGTAAGAAGTCTGGATTTCCAGTGATGTGGAGGGAGAAAATAACCTTTCCACCTTTAAGCTAACATATGCTGTTACTTGAAAGAAAAAAGGTCTCAGAGGTATCCCAATACAGTGTCCTATAATTAAACTCAGATGTATGTTTGACCCTTACACTCTTACTTCCCTCAAGATACTTGAAAGGAGAGTAGATTGAAGGTATTAAAAGTTTAACCTGTGCTGGTTGCTTCAGAGGATGAGCCTTATGTTTTTACACAGAGGTGCCAGTATCAGTCATTTTAGAGGAAGTTGTTTTCTTAGGCACCCTAGGTCCGTGATAGTGCTGTAAGTGTTGGTAACTCTTTTGCATATGTGAAATATGACTCAAGTCATATTAACAAAAAAAATGTGTGGAATTGCAAGGAAGAATTTTACTTGAAGGATATGAACAATTTGGATCAAATCTACATATTCGTATGGCTGATTTGTTATAAACCTTTGTGTTTTTGTTAGATGTACATAATAAATTCGAAAGGAGAATTAACAGAAGGGTTAAAATGTATAGGTTCAGTATCCAATTCTGGTCTCGCTTGATAAAGATGATCATTTGATACCAACATTACATGGATTGGCTCTATTATCTGCCCAAATTCCTGAATCCCCACTTGTGTTGTGCCTGTGAATCAGCACCTGAGTATATGGGCATATGCAAACATTTTTTTTTCTATTTCTTTTTTTTCTTTATTTCTTAAACAAAAACAAAAAACAAAAAAAACAAAACAAACATACAAAAAAAACGGGATTCATGTGCAGGATGGGCAGCTTTGTTCCATAGGTATATGTGTGCCATGGTAGTTTGCTGCACCTATTGACCCATCCTTTAAGTTCCCTCCCCTCACCCCCCATCCCCCAACAGGCCCTGGTGTGTGTTGCTCCCCTCCTTGTGTCCATGTGTTCTCAACGTTCAACTCCCACTTATGAGTGAGAACATGCGGTGTTTGGTTTTCTGTTCCTGTGTTTGCTGAGAATGATGGCTTCCAGCTTCACCCATGTCCCTGCAAAGGACATGATCTCATTCCTTTTTATGGCTGCATAGTATTCCATGGTGTATATGTACCCCACATTTTCTTTATCCAGTCAATCATTGATGGGTATTTGGGTTGGTTCCAAGTCTTTGGTATTGTAAAGAGTGCTGCTGTAAACATACATGTTTCTTTATAGTAGAATGATTTATAACCCTTTGGGTATATACTCAGTAATACTCAGGATTACTAGGTCAAATGGTATTTGGGGTTATAGGTCTTTGAGGAATCGCCATACTGTCTTCCACAATGGTTGAACAAATTTACATTCCCGCCAACAGTGTAAAAGCTTTCCTACTTCTCCAAAGCCTCACCAGCATCTATTGTTTCCTGAGTTTTTAGTAATCACCATTCTGACCAGCATGAGATGGTATCTCATTGTGGTTTTGATTTGCATTTCCCTGATGGTCAGAGATGCTGAGCTTTCTTTCATATGTTTGTTGGCTGTGTAAATGTCTTCTTTTGAGAAGTGTCTGTTCATATCCTTTGCCCACTTTTTGATGGAATTGTTTTTTTCTTGTAAATATGTTTAAGTTCCTTGTACATTCTGCGCATTAGACATTTGTCAAATGGGTAGATTGCAAAAAATTTCTCCCACTCTGTAGGTTGCCTGTTCACTCTGATGATAATTTCTTTTGCTGTGCAGAAGATCTTTAATTTTTTTTGTTTGTTTTTATGCAAGCACAAATTTAATGCACAGTATCAGAGAGGAGAAAGTATTGAACACCCGAGTTCTCAAAGATTCTAGGAGTTTCACAGCCAGGGCACAGGTGTGTAGCAAAGCAGCAGGTGCAGGTATACCTTGTTCATTGCCTTTCACTTTCTTATGCTTTGCAGATACTGCATTTTCTACTAGTTGAAGGGTTGTGGCAAACCTACATTGACTAAGTCTATCAGCACCATTTTTCCAACAGCATATGCTCACTTGGTGTCTCTTTGTCACATTTTGGTAATTCTTGCAATATTCAAGTATTTTCATTATTACTGTGTTATGGTGATCTGTGCCAGGTGATAATTAATGTTACTATTTTAATTGTTTTGTACTACCATAAACCATGGACCACGCCAATATAAGATAGCAAAATTAATCAATAAATGTTGTGTGTGTTCTGACTGCTCCACCCATAGGCCATTTCCCCTTCTCCTCAGGCTTCTGTGTTCCCTGAGAAACAACAATATTGAAATTAGGATAACTAATAACCCTACTGTGGCCTCTAAGAGTTTAAGTGAAAGGAAGAGTCACAAGTCTTTCTCTTTAAGTCAAAAGCTAGAACTAATTAAGCTTAGTGAAGAAGGCATGTCAAAAGCCAAGATAGGCTGAAAGCTAGGCCTCTTGTACCAGCCAGTTGGCCAAGTTGTGAACACAAAGGAAAAGTTTTTGAAGGAAATTAAAAGTGCTACTCCAGTGAACACACAAATGATAAGAAAGCAAAACACCTTTGATATAATTTGGATGTTTGACCTCTCCAAATCTCATGTTGAAATGTGATTTCCAGTATTGAAGGTGGGGCCTGGTGGGAGATGGCTGGATCATGGGAGTAAATCCTTCATAAATGGTTTAACACCATTCCCTTGTGAGTTATTGCTCAGTTAGTTCATATGGAATGTGGTTGTTTAAAAGTCTGGGACCTACCCCTTTTCTTTCCCTTGCTCTCACTCTCGCAATGTAATATGCTGGCTCGCCATGGCTTCTGCTATGATTGGAAGCTTCCTGAGGCCCTCACCAGAAGCAGATGCTGGTGCCATACTTGTACAGCCTGCAGAACGCTGAGCCAATTAAATCCCTTTTCTTTATAAATACCCAGCCTCAGGTATTCCTTTATAGAAACGCAAGAATGGCCTAACACAGAACTTATTGCTAATAGGGAGAAAGTTGTAGTGGTCTGAATAGAAGATCAAACAAGCCACAACATTCCCCTAAGCCAACACCTCATCCAGAGTAAGGCCTTAACTTTTCTTTAACTCTTCAAATTCTATAAAGTCTAAGAGAGGTCAGGAAGCTGCAGAAAAGAAATTTGAAGCTCGCAGAGTTGGTTCATGAGTTTAAGGGAAAGAACCCATTGCCACAATGTAAAAGTACAAGGTGAAGCAGAAATGCTGATGTAAAACTGCAGCAAGTAATCCAGAAGATCTAGCTAAGACCACTGATGGAGGCAAATATACTAAACAACAGAGTTTTACAAAACAGACTTCTAGGAAAAGAAGATGCCATCTAGGACTTTCATAGTTAGAAGGCAATGTGTGGCTTCAAACTTCAAAGGACAGGCTAGCTTGTTAGGGGCTAATGCAGCTGGTGACTTTAAGTTAAAACCAATCCTTATTTACCATTCCAAAAATCCTAGGTTCCTTAAGAGTTATGCCAAATCTACTCTGCCTGTGCTCTAAAAATGCAACAATAAAGCCTAAATGACACCACATCTGTTTACAGTATGGTTTCCTGAATTTTTCAAGCCCACTGTTGAGAACTACTGCTCAGGGAAGAAACAAAACAAAACAAAACAAAACAGAAACAACAAAACACAAACAAACAAAAAAAATCTTTCAAAATATTACTACTTCTCCTTGCCTAAGCACCTGGTCACCCAAGAGCTCTGATGGAGATAAACAAGGAGATTTCTGTTGTTTTTATGCCTGCTAACACAACATCTATTCTGCAGCCCATAAATCAAGAGGGAACTTTGACTTTTCAAGTCTTACTACTTAAGAAATATGTTTTGTAAGGCTATAGCTGCCATAGATAGTGGTTATTCTGATGGATCTGGGCAAATTAAATCAAAAACCCTTCAGAAAGGATTCACCATTCTAGATGCCATTAAGAACATTTGTAATTCATGAAAGACAGCTAAAATATCAACATTAGTGAGAGTGTGGAAGACGTTGATTCCAACCCTCATGGATGGTGTTGAGGGGTTTAAGCCTTCAGTGGAGGAGGTAATTTCAAATACCATAGATATAGCAAGAAAGCTGGAGTTAGCCCAAATGTCCAACAATGATAGACTAGATTAAGAAAATGTGGCACATATACACCGTGGAATACTATGCAGCCATAAAAATGATGAGTTCATGTCCTTTGTAGGGACATGGATGAAACTGTAAATCGTCACTCTCAGTAAACTATCACAAGAACAAAAAACCAAACACCACATATTCTCACTCATAGGTGGGAATTGAACAATGAGAACACATGGACACAGGAAGGGGAACATCACACTTTGGGGACTGTTGTGGGGTGGGGGGAGCGGGGAAGGATAGCTTTAGGAGATATACCTAATGCTAAATGATGAGTTAATGGGTACAGCACACCAGCATGGCACAAGTATACATATGTAACTAACCTGCACATTGTGCACATGTACCCTAAAACTTAAAGTATAATAATAATAAAATTTAAAAAAATAAAATAAAATAAATAAATAAATAAATAAATAAATAAATAAATAAATAAAAATTCAGGAAACAACAGGTGCTGGAGAGGATGTGGAGAAACAGGAACAGTTTTACACTGTTGATGGGACCGTAAAGTGGTTCAACCATTGCGGAAGACAGTGTGGCGATTCCTCAAGGATCTAGAACTGGAAACACCATTTGACCCAGCCATCCCATTACTGGGTATATACCCAAAGGATTATAAATCATGCTGCTATAAAGGCACATGCACACATATGTTTATTGCAGCACTATTCACAATAGCAAAGACTTGGAACCAACCCAAATGTCCATCAATGATAGACTGGATTAAGAAAATGTGGCATATATACACCATGGAATACTATGCAGCCATAAAAAAGTTCATGTCCTTTGTAGGGACATGGATGAAGCTGGAAACCATCATTCTCAGCAAACTATCGCAAGGACAAAAAAGCAAACACTGCATGTTCTCACTTATAGGTTGGAATTGAACAATGAGAACACTTGGACACAGGAAGGGGAACATCACGCACCGGGGCCTGTCGTGTGGTGGTGGGCTGGGGGAGGGAAAGCATTAGAAGATATACCTAACATAAATGACGAGTTAATGGGTGCAGCACACCAACATGGCACATGTATACATAAGTAACAAACCTGCACGTTGTGCACATGTACCCTAGAACTTAAAGTATAATTTAAAAAATAAATTAAAAAAAGAATATGTTACAAAAAAAGAAAGAAAGCTGCAGTTAGAAGTGGAGCTTGAAGATGTGACTGAATTGCTACAATCACATGATGAAACTTGAATGAATGAAGAGTTGCTTCTTATAGATGAGCAAAGAAAATTGTTTCTTGAGATGGAATCTACTCTGGGTAAGATGCTGTGAACATTGTTGAAAGGACAACAAAGGATATTTAGAATAGTTCATAAATGTAGTTGATAAAGCAGCTGTTGCTTTATCAAGCCTGTTGCTTTATTAAGCCTGTTGGGCTTGAGAGGATTGATTCCAATATTGAAAGAAGTTCTACTGTGAACAAAATGCTATCAAACAGCATCACATGTTACAGAGGAATCTTTCATGAAATTAAGAGTCAATCAAGATGGCATACTTTCTGTTGTCTTATTTATTAAAATTACCAGTTACCCCAACCTTCAGCAGCCACTACTTTATCACTCAGCAGTCATCAACATTAAGGCAAGACCCTCCACCAGCAAAAATATTATGACTCACTGAAGGCTCAGGTGACTGTTAGAATTTTTTTAGCAATACAGTATTTTTAAGCTATCTACATTTTTTTATTCTAACATGATGAGTTTATTCGAGAGTAAGCAAAAAGGATTATAACCTGGGAAGCACAGCTATAGCAAGCCATAGGGACATAAAGCCAAAGGTAAAGAAACATTTTTACTGGCAAAGAGAAGTTATGTAAGCTGCTTGGAGACAGAGTTCATTGGTTCTTGATGCTTAAAGCTAGAATTAACATCAGTTCATTGGTAGAGGTGCTGTTGCTAGGCAAGTGTTCTTTTGAGAGCATCTTGTCAGAATTGCTGCAGTCCTAAAGAATGTCTAGTGATAAACCTAGTCATAGAAATATGTGCATACTTGCAAAACTTAGATCATGAAAAGTATGAGATGTGTAAAAGATGAAGGAATTTCTTATGAGGTTATTTTAGAAAGTCCTTGAAATAGTCTTTATCTCAGACGTGCAAGCATGAGCTGTCCTTCTTGGTGTTTTCCTGGCTCCAGTTTGCTTGGGTCTCACAAAAGTGACTTTATCTTGCTATCTGCAACTTTAGTCACTCCCTTTCCACCGACTCCTGTATGGAACCAATATCATAGTTTCTGGGTTTCCTTTCCTAAGTTACTTTTTGTACAGTTGTGCAGAGAAATATATATTTTCTTATTCCCTCTTCTTAATTGCACAAAATGTTCCATACCATAGACACTTTCTCACACTTTGCTTTTTACATTTAACACTATATCTTGGAAGCCAATCCATATCAGTTTATAGATGTCATCCTCAGTCTTTTTCTTTTAATTATACTTTAGGTTCTGGGATACATGTGCATAACGTGCAGGTTTGTTACATAGGTATACATGTGCCATGGTGGTTTGCTGCACCCATTAGCCCATCATCTACACTAGGTATTTCTCCTGATGCTATCCCTCCCCTTACCCCCACCCCCTGACAGACCCTGGTGTGTAATGTTCCCCTCCCTGTGTCCATGTGTTCAAAATGTTCAACTCCCACTTATGAGTGAAAACATGCAGTGTTTGGTTTTCTCTTCTTGTGTTAGTTTGCTGAGAATGATGGCTTCCAGCCTCATCCATGTCCCTGCAAAGGACATGATTTCATTCTTTTTATGGCTGCATAGTTAATATTCCATGGTGTATATGTGCCACATTTTCTTTATCCAGTCTATCATTGATGGGCATTTGGGTTGGTTCCAAGTCTTTGGTGTTGTGAATAGTGCTTCAATAAACATACGTGTGCATGTGTCTTTATAGTAGAATGATTTATAATCCTTTGGGTATATACCCAGTAATGAGATTGCTAGGTCAAATGGTATTTCTGGTTCTAGATCCTTGAGGAATGGCCACACTGTCTTCCACAATGGCTGAACTAATTTATTCTCCCACGAACAGTGTAAAAATGTTCCCATTTCTCCACATCCTCTTCAGCATCTGTTGTGTCCTGACTTTTTAATGATCGCCATCCTACCTGGCATGAGATGGTATCTCATCATGGTTTTGATTTTCATTTCTCTAGTGACCAGTGAGGATAAACTTTTTATCATATGGTTCTTGGCCACATAAATGTCTTATTTTGAGAAGTGTCTGTTCATATCTTTTGCCCACTTTTTGATGGAGTTGTTTTTTGTTTTGTTTTTTTTTTTCTTGTAATTTGCTTAAGTTCCTTGTAGATTCTGGATATTAGCCCATTGTCATATGCATAGATTGCAAAAATTTTCTCCCATTCTGTAGGTTGCTTGTTCATTCAGATGATAGTTTCTTTTGCAGTGCAGAAGCTCTTTAGTTTAATTCGATCCCATTTGTCAATTTTGGCTTTTGTTGCCATTGATTTTGGTGTTTTAGACATGAAGTCCTTGCCCATGCCTATATCCTGAATGGTACTGCCTAGGTTTTCTTCTAGGGTTTTTATGTTTTTAGGTCTAACATTTAAGTCTTTAATCCATCTTGAGTTAATTTTTGTATAAGGTGTAAGGAAGGGGTCCAGTTTCAGTTTTCTGCATATGAGTAGCCAGTTTTCCCAACACCATTTGTTGGGAATCCTTTCCCCTTTGCTTGTTTTTGTTAGGTTTGTCAAAGATCAGATGGTTGTAGATGTGTAGTGTTATTTCTGAGGCCTCTGTTCTGTTCCATTGGTCTATATATATCTGTTTTGGTACCAATACCATGCTGTTTTGGTTACTGTAGCATTATATTATAGTTTGAAGTCAGGTAGCATAATGCCTCCAGCTTTGTTCTTTTTGCTTAGGATTGTCTTGACTATACAGGCTCTTTCTTGGTTCCATATGAAATTTAAAGTAGTCTTTTCTAAGTCAGTGAAGAAAATCAACGGTAGCTTGATGGGAATAGCATTGAATCTGTATATTGCTTTGGGCAGAATGGCCATTTTCATGATATTGATTCTTTCTATCCATGTGCATGGAATGTTTTTCCATTTGTTTGTGTCCTCTCTTATTTCCTTGAACAGTGATTTGTAGTTCTCCTTGAAGAGGTCCTTCACATCCCTTGTAAGTTGGATTCCTAGGTATTTTATTCTCTTTGTAGCAATTGTGAATGGGAGTTCACTCATGATTTGGCTCTCTATTATTGGCATATAGGAATGCTTGTGATTTTTGCACATTGATTTTGTATCCTAAGACTTTGCTGAAATTGCTTATCAGCTTGAGTTTTTGGGCTGAGACGATGGGGTTTTCTACATATACAATCATGTTATCTGCAAACAGAAACAACTTGACTTCCTCTCTTCCTATTTGAATACCCTTTCTTTCTTTCTCTTGTCTGATGACCCTGGCCAGAACTTCCAAAACAATGTTGAATAGGAGTGGTGAGAGAGGGCATACTTTTCTTGTGCCGATTTTCAAAGGCAATGCTTCCAGCTTTTGCCCATTCAGTATGATATTGGCTGTGGGTTTGTCATAAATAGCTCTTATTATTTTGAGATATGTTCCATCAATATGTAGTTTATTGAGGGTTTTCAACATGAAGAGATGTTGAATTTTATCAAAGGCCTTGTCTGCTTTTATTTTGATGATCATGTGGTTTTTGTCATTGGTTCTGTTTATGTGATGGATTACATTTATTAATTTGCATATGTTGAACCAGCCTTGCATCCCAGGAATGAAGCCGACTTGATTGTGGTGGATAAGCTTTTTGATGTGCTGCTGGACTTAGTTTGCCAGTATTTTAATAATGACTTTTACATCTATATCCATCAGGGATATTGGCCTGAAGTTTCCTTTTTTTGTTGTGTCTCTTCTTAGTTTTGATATCAGGATGATGGTGGCTTCATAAAATGAAGTCCCTCCTTTTCAATTGTTTGAAATAATTTCAGAAGGAATGGTACCAGCTCCCCTTTGTATTTCTGGTAGAATTCAGCTGTGAATCTATTTGGTCCTGGGCATTTTTTGGTTGGTAGGCTATTACTGCCTCAATTTCAGAGCTTGTTATTGGTCTATTCAGGAATTCAACTTCTTCCTGTTTTAGTCGTGGTAGGGTGTATGCATCCAGGAATTTATCCATTTCTTCTAGATTTTTTAATTTATTTGTGCAGAGGTGTTTATAGTATTCTCTCATGGTAGTTTATATTTATGTGGGGTCAGTTGTGATATCTGCTTTATTATTTTTTATTGAGTTTATTTCATTCTTCTCTCTCTTCTCCTTTATTAGTCTAGCTAGTGGTCTATCTATTTTGTTAATTTTTTCAAAAAAACAGTTCCTGGATTCATTGATTTTTTTTTTGGAGGGTTTTTTGCTTTTCTATTTCCTTCAGTTCTTCTCTGACCTTAATTATTTCTTTTCTTCTGCTAGCTTTTGGATTAGTTTGCTCTTGACTCTCTAGCTCTTTTAATTGTGATTCTAGGGTGTCAATTTGAGATCTTTCTAGTTTTCTGATGTGTGCATTTAGTGCTATAAATTTCCCTCTTAAGACTGCTTTAGGCTAGTCATGGTGGCTCATGCCTGTAATCCCAGCATTTTGAGACACCAAGTCAGGCAGATCACAAGGTCAGGACTTCAAGACCAGCCTGGCCAACATGGTGAAACCCCATCTCTGCTAAAAATACATATTAGCTGGGCATGGTGGCACACGCCTGTAATCCTAGCTACTTGGCAGGCTGAGCCAGGAGAATCACTTGAACCCAGGAGGTGGAGGTTGCAGTGAGTGAAGATCACGCCATTGCACTCCAGCTCTGGGCAACAGAGCAAGACCCCATCTCAGGAAAAAAAAAAACTGCTTTAGCTGTGTCCCAGAGATTCTGGTACATTTTCTCCTTATTTTCATTGGTTTCAAAGAACTTCTTCATTTCTGCCTTAAATTCATTATTTACCCAGGAGTCATTCAGGAGCAGGTTGTTCAATTTCCATAAAATTGTGTGGTTTTGAGTGAGTTTCTTAATCCTGAGTTCTAATTTTATTGCACTGTGGCCCAAGAGACTGTTTGTTATGATTACAGTTCTTTTGCATTTGCTGAGGTGTGTTTTACTTCCAATTATGTGGTCAATTTTAGAATAAGTGCCATGTGACACTGAGAAGAACGTATATTCTGTTGGTTTGGGGTAGAGAGTTCTGTAGACATCTACCAGGTCCACTTGATCCAGAGGTGAGTTCAAGTCCTGAATATCCTTGTTAATTTTCTGTCTCGTTTATCTGTCTAATATTGTCAGTGGGATGTTAAAGTCTCCCACTATTATGGTGTGGGAGTCTAAGTCTCTTTGCAGGTCTCTAACAACTTGTTTTATGAATCTGGGTACTCCTGTATTGGGTGCATATATATTTAGAATAGTTGGCTCTTCTTGTTGAATTGTTCCCTTTAACATTTTGTAATGCCCTTCTTTGTCTTTTTTGATTTTTGTTGGTTTAAAGTCTGTTTTGTTGGAGACTAGGATTGTAATCCCTGCTTTTTTTTGCTCTCCATTTGCTTGGTAAATATTCCTCCATCCCTTTATTTTGAGCCTGTGTGTGTCTTTGCACATAAGATAGGTCTCCTGAATACAGCACACTGATGGGTCTTGACTCCTTATCCAATTTGCCAGTCTGTATCTTTTAATTGGGGCATTTAGCTCATTTACATTTAAGGTTAATATTGTTATGTGTAAATTTGATCCTCTCATCATGATGCTATTTGCTTATTTTGCACAGTAGTTGATGCACTACCAGTTCCTTTGTAGTGTCATTGGTCTTTATATTTTGGTGTGTTTTTGCAGTTACTGGTACCAGTTGTTCTTTTCCATATTTAGTGCTTCTTTCAGAAGCTCTTGCAGGGCAGGCCTGATGGTAACAGAATCCCTCAGCATTTGCTTGTCTGGAAAGGATTTTATTTCTTCTTTGCTTATGAAGCTTAGTTTGGCTGGATATGAAATTCTGGGTTGAAAATACTTTTCTTCAAGAATGTTGAATATTGGTCCCTAATCTCTTCTGCCTTGTAGAGTTTCTGCTGAGAGGTCTGCTGTTAGTCTGATGGGCTTCCCTTTTTAGGTGACCTAGTCTTTCTGTCTGGCTGCCCTTAACAGTTTTTCCTTCATTTCAACCTTGGAGAATCTGATGATTATATGTCTTGGGGTTGACCTTCTCGTGGAGTATCTTAATGGTGTTCTCTGCATTTCCTGAATTTGCATGTTGGCCTGTCTTGATAGGTTGAGGAATTTCTCCTGGATAATATCCTGATGTGTGTTTTCCAGCTTGTTTCCATTTTCCCTGTCTGCTTCTGATAACTCTAATCAATTATAGCTTCAGTCTTTTTATGAAGTCCCATATTTCTTGGAGGCTTTGTTCATTCCTTTTCATTCTTTTTTCTCTATTCTTGTCTGCATGTCTTATTTCAGTAAGGTGGTCTTCAAATTCTGATATCCTTTCTTCCACTTGGTCGATTTGGCTTTTGATACTTGTGTATACTTCACAAAATTCTTGTGCCGTGTTTTTCAGTTCCATCAGGTATTTCATGTTCCTGTCTAAACTGGTTACTCTAGTTAGCAATTCTTATAACCTTTTATCTAGGTTCTTAGCTTCTTTGCATTGGGTTAGAACATGCTCCTTTGGCTTATTATGGTTTTTTATTACCCGTCTTCTGAAGCCTACTTCTGTTTATTTGTCCATCTGATCCTCTGTCCAGTTCCGTGCTCTAGATGGAGAGACGCTGTGATCATGGAGGAGAAGAGGCACTTTGGCTTTTTGGGTTTTTAGCATTTTTTCGTTGATTCTTTGTCATCTTTGTGAGTTTGTCTATTTTCAGCCTTTGAGGCTGCTAACCCTTGGATGGGGTTTTTGTTGTTGTTGTTGATGATGCTATTGCCACTTTCTGCTTGTTTGTTTTTCTTTCAGTAGTCTGGCCCCTCTTCTGTAGGGCTGCTGCAGTTAGCTGGGCATTCACTTCAGGCCTTATTCATCTGATTCGCTCCCGTGCCTGGGGATGTCATTCAAGGAGGCTGGAGAGCCCCAAAGATGGGTGCCTGCTCTTTCTTCTGGAAACTCTGACCTCAAGGGGCACCAACCTGATGCCAGCAGGAATGTTCAACAACCCCTGTTGGATAGGGTGTCCGACAACCCCTGTTAGAGGGTCTCAACCAGTTGGGTGGCATGGGGAGCCGGACCTGTTTAATGAAGCACTTTGTCCCTTGGTAGAGAGGTTGTGTTTTGGTGAGGGGAAGCTCACTTGTCTGGGCTGCCCGGATTCCTCAGAACTACCAGGAGGAGAGGCTAAGTCTGCTGGTCCACAGACTGTGGCCACCCCTTCCCTTAGGGCCTCAGGCCCAGGGAGATCCAAATTCTGTCCTTGAGCCTCTGGCTGGAGTTATTGGAGATGCTGCAGGGAAGCCCCTCCTCCACCACTGAGGAAGGATGGGTCGGGGTTAGGCCTGAAGAGGCACTCTGGCCACAGCTGGTGTGTTGGTCTGTGGGGACAAGTCTTGCAGCCTGGAGCTATAGAAATGGGTGCCACCCTTCTGCCGCCCAGGGAGCTTAGCATGTTATGCAGTTGTGAGTCCCAGTGCTGCCCCTCTCCACAGAAACTCAAACAGCTTAGGCTTAGACAGCAGGCAGCCACAGACGGTGCTGGTCACCCCTTCCCCAGGAGTTCAGTAGGCTTAAGCAGATACCAGCTGAGAGGATGTAAGAATCTGTGCATCTGGGGTTGGGATGCTAGGTCCTGGTGGCTTGGGTTTGCAAGTGGCATCTTCTCATCCATGGGTTGCATAGTTCCATGGAAAAAACAGTTTCCCTGGCTGGGTAGCCTGCTCACGCACTGCCTCCTTTGGCTGGGGGGAGGGGGTTCCCCTTCTCCCTGTGGCTCTCAGGAGGGCAACCACACCACACTGCTCTTCCTTCTCTCATTGGATCATGCCAGCCTTCTAGTCAATTTTGATGAGAGAATCTGGATACCTTGGTTACCGGTGAATGCTTATGTTTTTTTTTTTTCCAGTGGGAGCCTCTGAATGCCAAGAGTTCTAGTCAGCCATCTTGGCCCCACCCTGCTTTTTGGTTCTGAATCAAAGGAAGCAGATGCTTTTTACACAAGGTCCTGATTTTTGCATTATGGATCATTAGAATTGACGCTAACAGGAGTCATGTGTCTAATTCTTTGCATCAGTGTAAGCAAAAAATATGTTCAGCAATAGTAAATTATCTTAACCTCTCTCAGGAAATACGAATAGTTTCATAGTGAGAAAGTGGCAATGTGAGTCAAAAGCATAAAAATGCCAGCTGTAAATAAAGATGAAAAACTCTCATCCCCACTGGGATAAAATAACATTACCTTCCTGAGACCCTGACTAGGGACAGACCATTTCTTTGGAGATTTGTTTGGTACAGGAGTAGAAAGAAAATGAATTTAAATAATTTATCATAATATTACCCCAAATCACAACCTTGAACATAAAAGGAGAAAATCTACTTTCAAATCAATTTTGCATTGACAAGTGGGGACCTGGAACTCTGATAGGAAAAGTTATCTTTGGCAAAGATTTATATCTCTGAAGATAAATGCATCCTATATGTGATATTTTTATCATCTATATGGGTATTTGTTCTTAATTTTAGAGTTAAAAAGATCAGAAGTCTTTTGGAAAAATTGTTTTCAACTCAATACAAATGACCAATACCATAAAATGGAGTTATAGATTTCATTTGATTAATCCACCTACTATTACTTTTTAAGTGATGTTTAAAGAATTAACCTGCTTGATTATAGTATTTTCACATATCTAAACTAAAAACAGAATGGTACTTTTACTCCACAGTTATAATAAAGAAATTTGAAAACTTTACCTTACAATTAGTCATGTGTTTGAAGTAAAGATCAATAACACAAATTTGCTCCTAACTCTCTGAAAATGAAGGATTGAAAATAAAATAAATAAAATCAGGTCTACTGTTTTGATTATTTTTGCAGGGGACAAATTACAGTTTTTGCACTCAAGGAAACTCCAGATTTCCACTGGCTGTGAAAAGACCACTTTGGCATTACTGCTGTTTTCTTATCTGTCAAATGCATTTAATCACACTCACCTTGTTCTACTGTATGTTGTTTGGCTTTACAAATTAATGGCTCTAAAGTGCTTTGAAAATATAAATCTCTATATAAATAATAAAACATTATTATAGCCTTGGGAAAAGTCTGGGGAAAGGGGAACTAAAGAGTAATGACTTGTCTTCTAGGATTGTAAGAACTTCAAAAAGTAGTGTTTTACCTGGTAATTTCTTACTTTCATATGAAATCTTCTCAGGACATCCTAAAAATTAAAAGCAGTTATACTGAATAATTTAAGACTATACAAGCAGTTATAATAGAACCATTATGTTAAAAGACTATCCACTTCACCCTATAATATTGTTATTATAGAATTAAAGCAACAGGACCCCCTCCATTCTTTTTACAAGTTATATACTCATTCATGTATTATTTTGCAATGTGTGCATATTCTCAAACTAAGAAATACTTGATGACATGAGAATAAAACAGCTAAAATTATGATTTCTTGTCTCAAGAAGCTTTCAACCTCATCAGAGAGCTAAATGTGTACAACATTTTTAAAATAAATATTTGGATGTGCTAAATAATCTTAAGGATATTTTGAAGATATTATCTTAGAATTGTAAAAAAAATTGAGATTATTTCTGACACTGAAGTGATAAGGGCAGATGGATATGTAGGCAAGCTCTAGCTCTGGAATGTTTTTATTAATGATTCAGCACTAAATCTTAGACCTGAAGTAGATTAGACTTGGAAATGCAAAGACAACTTGGAAGGTATTTATGGCAAGAGGAGTAGCTTGAACAAAGAAGGTAAGCAGAAAAACACCAAACATATTTAGCAAGTTAATTGTTTTAGAAGTTTGGGATGTGTCAAACTAGGTAGTAGGTGATAAAGCTCTAAAGATAGATTGGCGCCAAGTTGTGTAGGCTCTTGAATGACAGGCTAAAATACGTGGGCTTTATTTAGTAGGAAATTGTAAACTGCTTCTTAAACTCAAATAAACATTTTTATAAGAGTTGTTTTAAATAGGAAAACAATAAGACATTTTATTCAAGATGGGGTTATAAATAATTCATTTAGAAACATCCTTCCTGCCTGTGGTTAGAAAAATAAATAATCTGACTGTCAGTTTGACATTAGACTTCTGATAACACATGATGTTGGTTGTTAAACTAAGGCTACATTAGTATGGAAAGTCAAGCAACTAAACTATTCTTAAATTTTAAAAGAAAATTATCTTTAAATGAATAGCAACTCTTATTAAGATAAGTCAGATTTGTGCATGAGTCTAAATTATTGACACAATAGGTATGGCTATGGAACTTAAATTTTAGAGTATTTCCTTAGATCATTTCTGGACTTGAGAAACATTTAAATTTATTCTCATTTAAGAGGTGATAGAATTTGAAAAGCAAGGTCTTCAGTCCCATGGTTTATTATCCTTCAACCAGTCATAGAAGCAACAACTTTCTCTTTGGGAAATTTCTGCTGAAGTGATTTTGAACTGAGTTGGAAAACACCTTCGAAATGATTTGGTCTAGACTTCTTTTTTGTCGATGAGAAAATAAAAAGTTAGAGAAAAAAAAAAGACCTTTCAAGATAACACAGAAAGACACCTGGCAATCAAACACAGACCTTTTTTCCTCAATTCAATGATTTTTCAATTCAAATACTATTTTAGGCAATATTTTGAAGTATCAGCTTTGTTTTGGGTTCAGCCAAATGCAATTATTTTCCTTTAATTTGATAGTCTTGCAAATGGGCTTTATTAATTATGTCAGTAAAGTTGGTTTTAAATATTAACAAGTGGTACTTTTGGGATTTCTGTTTTATACCCTCTCCCCTAAAATAAAGCAGCTATTACTTATGCAACTTTCCAGTATATATTCTAAAGGAATATTTTTCCTTATTAGCTTAACTTATGCATTATTTGTTTTCCTAATTATATAACAAATGAAACAATAGTTTTGCACATATTTTTGAATATATATTCAAATATATATATTTGAATTATATATATAAAATTTATAAATTGCTATGCCATATTTAGAATCTTTGCTTGACCAGCTGATTTAAATATTTTATTTGGATTAACATAGGTTCCAGAAAGGAAAGGCTAATGGGCAATAGTCTTTCATTGTTGATAGTTAGGATTTAAGTCTGGCTTAGGATTTCAGGAATCAGGAATATTTATATAATGATAGGGTGAAGTTGGTTATGAAACTTTTTTTCGATGATACGTGGTTCTGTAATGTATAGGAACTTATCTTACACAAATATCATCAGGTTTAACTTTCCTTACTGATTTTATTTTATTGTGATTGATTGTTTTTTATGGATTTTTCAATAATTCAAATTTTGTAATTATTTTCCTATGATGGCATCTTGTATCCTTGAAAATATGTAATTCTACTTGCTATACAATCATTCTACAGTGTTTTTTTCTGGAGTATTTTAACTATGTCACAATATTATGTATTTCAGTCCAGGCATATTGAATTGAAAGTCCAGAAATGCATTTTACTTTCTTAGCTCCACTACATAGAAGTTGACCATGACTGAACTATCATAATTATTGGTTACATAAATGCTGTATAAATATTTGGAAGGGGAGAGAGGTTATATATACAGAATATTTTATAGTGATGTTGCATTTATTTGTTTTTCTTCTTTTTCTCCTTGTTCTTTTCCTTGTAATTATTTTTTGTTGTAACTTATAATTCTTGTCTTTCTGAGTGAATATTGTATTAACATTACAGTAAAACAGTAAGACTACTGCCAGGATTAATCACATAATTTGCAGGGGCCATTTCAAAATGAAAATTCAAGTTGCCTAATTCAAGAATTGTTTAGAGTTTTAAAAATAACAACAGAGCATTTACACAAGCATATGGCCTTTTACACAAGTTTGGGCGCTGTATGACTGGACAGGTCACATGTTTATGAAGCCAGCCATTGCTATAGCTTGCAAAGGCAGACTTATATCAATGAAGAAGAAACACAATTTCTTGCTTCATCTTTTTTTTGAGACAGAGTCTCGCTCTGTCCCCCAGGCTAGAGTGCAGTGGCTCGATCTCGGCTCACTGCAAGCTCCAACTCCTGGGTTCAGGCCATTCTACTGCCTCAGCCTCCTGAGTAGCTGGGACTACAGGCGCCCGCCACCATGCCCAACTAATTTTTTTTGTATTTTTAGTAGAGACGGGGTTTCACCGTGTTAGCCAGGATGGTCTCGATCTCCTGTCCCTGTGATCTGCCCGACTTGGCCTTCCAAAGTGCTGGGATTACAGGCTCTTCTTTTTTTTTTTTTTTTTTCCCTGCGTTTCTGACAATTTCTTCATAAGGCAAATTTCACCACTGAATCATAATTTTAGGTCGACTCATTTCTAAACTTATGTACAGGAGCTAATGATCACGACAAAATCTTTAGCTACCATTTGTAATACTTTCCTGTTGATGCTCTTGTAAGTTACCATAAACTTAGTGGCTTAAAACAACAGAAATTTCTTTTCTTACTATTCCAGAATTCAGAAGTTTAAAATTGGTTTTACTAGGCCAAAATCAAGCTGTCAACAGACATGCATTCCTTCTGGAGGTTCTAGGGGAAAATCCGTTTCCTTTCCATTTTTGCTTCTAGAAGCTGGTTGCATTCATTGGCTTATGACCCCCTTCCCCATCTTCAAAGCCAGCAGAATAGCATTTTAAAATCTAAATCACATCCTCTGACTCCCTGCTTTCATCTTCCCTTCTCCTTCTCTAACTCTTTTAAGAACTCTTCAATTGCATTGGGCCACCTGGATAATGCAGGCTAATCTATCCATTTCGAGTTCCTTAATTTGGTCACATCTGCAAAGACTCTTCTTCAATGCAAGGTAACATAAGCACAAGTCCAAAAGATTAGGATGTGGACATCTTTGGGGAGCTACTACTGTCTACCACAGTATTTCTCGTACACATACTTTTTACTAATTATAGTAATTCTTCCCGGACAATGTTTTACATTCATCTCAAATTTTCCCGACTTAAACATTATCTAAAAAATAAATTTCCCTGGATTTAAAAAAAAAATCAGGTGCCAAGAGCTATAAAAAAATTAGTTTAAAATAGGAAAGACAATTATTTTCTTTAGGCAGGAGTTACTTTACCATCAAACACTATATATAACATGTTTGTAATAACTTTTATTTTTTATTTACCTAAGAAAGACCTAAAAATGCATGTTTATAAAGAATATATATTCTATCTGTATAATATGAACAATCTCCTTCTTCGCAGCACACACACATACATATATTTATAAGTTAATATTTTGTTACATTCTCAGACATTATCAAATTTTCTTTAACCACTTCCTTTATTCATAATTGCTTTGCTTTTATAGATTCATATTTTGTAATCCTATCATGAATTGTAAAATTCAGTACTTCTCACAAATAAAAGGTCAGTGAATATTTAAGAGACTTAGTCTCAGCTATGTGTATAGTGTTTATTGCATGCATTACCCAATAGTAAGAATTATAGAGAAAATAGAGTATACGTTAAAAGTTTCTGGGGAAAACTATGCAGATACTCAAGCAGCAGACATAAATTCAGTAAAACAAGATATGCATCAACTTATGAGCAGGGTGGTCTGCAGTTGGTGTTTATCTGGAAAGATGTCTTGGTAAACGTGTTCTGCAGAAAGTATTAGAGTTAGAGGGTTAGGCTGAGTGAATAAAGAAGGCAGTTCTCATAGTAGCTGAATGGTGTAGGTAAGAACTTCAGGGCATCAAGCAGAGGATTAATGGAGAAGAGGCAAACATGCCTATTTAGTGGAATGGAAAAAACCAGCTAATGTTGCAACAAAAGTAGAGGTTCTATTGTTAAGGGCAAATACCAGAAAAATCCATAATTCTGTTATTAAATAATTGGGTTTAATCTTCAAACTAATATAATGATTTAGTATATGTTTAGTGATTTTTCATATTCAAAGGATGAATCAACTAGGGAGATTTGAAAAGAGCATTGCATTATTGAACCCAATATGTAATTTGAGAGAAAAGTTCAAACCAAGTTGGGAGTGGGAGATTAGGCTGTTACCATGATGCCAGTGTAGCATAACCAGAGCTTGCATTTAATGGTGGAGGAAAGAGAAAGGGAGGTGATCCAGCTCACACACACACACACACACACACACACACACACACACATGCACCAGCTACATGAGTAAAATGTCATGTGTAGTGGTACACTGACATTCATATGACATATTGAAACATATTAGATGAAAGTAGTACTGCTAGGTAGCTTTCATTAAATGTTTATTTTATGCTAGGCACTGTCCTTGTAATGTAATAAACTTTCCAGTAATTTAATCCTCACTATTACAATTTGATATCATTTTTCACTTAGATATGAGAAAGCTATAATAGCATTTAAATGATTTTCTCAAGTGACCAATATATAGATACTAGGATTTAACTCCTGGTAACTCCCAAAACTATACTCTTTCTTATTTACTAAAGACCCTAGGATTTGGCCTAAAATACATTTCCTCTGTGTACTCAAATCTCATTTACTATTAGAATTGTTAAATATTAGGATCAAAGTATCACATATTTCATTTAATCCATAATTATATCCAATGTAGGAATTGCCACTCCAACCACCATACAAAATAGTCACAACTTTCACTTTTACACTTCAATAATGGAGATTTATAACCTCCAACTTCCATTTGTGTATGGTCTAAGTGGCTAGGAAGTTCTTTCTTATTTTGAACTGAATCTGAAGCCATATTATCTTCATTTTCTAGCCCATATTCTGCCCTCTGGAATCAGGCAACCCCCCCCCACCCGCCACACACACACTCACACAATTATATCACTCTTCTGTAGACAGCCCTTCTAAATATTTGAAAATAGCCATCACAAGTTCATTACAAGTGAAATACCCTCAGTTGTCTAAATCACCTAACAAGGCATTCATATTCTTCATCATCTTGGTGTAATTCTTTATACTGCTCAATGTACTATCGATATATTAGTGTTAATTCATTTGTCTCAGACTGTATGCCATTATTTTCCTTTATACTTCACTGGCTCCAGAAGATTTTTCTCTAAAACATTTTGTTAAACTTATCAGCTTTCTCTACAACAGCATCGATCAGCAAAACCACTGCCTTTTAGTCAATACCTTATACTTTCCACAATTAAAGCAGATACTCAACTTCTGATAAAATGAGACCTTAGTTCCAGCTGCAATGTGAACACCTGTGAGGCTGGGACTCTGGAAATCTGAGAGTCGTGCCCACACTTAATCATCATTTACACTTCTCATCTTTAGTGCTCAGCTGTGAAGGCCCAGCCAGTGACCTGTTGAAGGCTTTTCCAGTAAAACAGAGGAGACATAAACCAGGGCACATCAAATATGCTTAGCAAGAGCCGTCTCTCCAGCTGTCAGTGAGCCACGCCACACTGAAGATGCACAGTAGGAGGCTCTCCTATCGCTGACTTTTGACTAGTTAAGAGTGTTTGGTTAAACATTTTGAAAAGTGATAGGTGAATGGGGTCTTTAGTTGAAGTTATGGGTCAAATTCCAGGCTTGCAGTAGCACATAAGAGACAGAGAAAAATAAATTGCTGGGCTTTCAAGTCTCTAAAGACATAAAATACTTCATGGTAGGATTGAAGGCTAAGCTCTTTTTTATAAATCAACATAAGTAAAAATTATTGTTAAAAGAAAGTTAAAGCTACCAAAATTTATTGTCAGTAAAATACTGACAAAGAAAAATATAAAGAGATGGGTATCAAAGATAAAGTAGGATGTAAACCTGAGAGTAAAGGAAAACACCTTCCCTCTTACCTTATCTTAATGCCTTGAAACATGGTGCTTTATCTTAATACTGTCATCCTGTCCTTTTATTCATCATATGTATAAAGGTATCCAAAATAAAACAAAACACTTAAGAAAAAATGCTTTAAGTAGAAATATATTTATTTTATACTCACTTTTAGGAAAAAAATTGATAGGGGAGATTTGGCTATTATATACACATATTTCTTCTATATTTTTTATAGACACAATTTCTAGATTTTACTGGTACCTGTAAATGTAAAGTTAACATATATGTGGAAATATATGTTTACTTTTGTGTATGTATATCACCTATATTTATGGAAGGAAGTGATATTCACTTAATGTATTAATGACATAGTTTAGGTATTATTGAAGTATGAAAAAGATACCATCGTTAACTAAAGATTTATGCTTTCTTTTAGAAAGTTTAAAATGGTATTAAACATTGCTACATGAATCATTTATTCATGGATTAAGTAGATCTATTAATAAAAATGCCTTATAGGTTAATACAATTTACAGATGTAAATATTTTCACAAACTGAATCTCATTTGACCCTCTCAATGACATTTAACCTTCAGAAGGCTTGTAGTTATTATTTTCCCTAATTTAGAGTTGAAGATAAATGAATTTTATAATAGCTTAGATGATTAATAAGTGATGAAGTATCCAAATTCAGTTTTTCTGACTCACTAACCTGATATTTTGTCTAATGTATAATGCCACTTTTTGTTAAAAAGAGCATCATTTAAATATGTGATGTTCTGATACTTTGCAGTCAGCAAGTCTTCCATAAAATGTCACCTTAGGTTTGCAGTCAGTAAGGCTTGATGGATAAAACTGTTGTATCTTAAGAAGTAATTGACATCTTCCTAAGTATATAATAATAAATGTCCTATTATACTTCCTCTGACATTTTTGTGCAAATATATATATTGTTTAAATTTTAATTACTAATTAAAAATTATATATACATATTCACTGTGTACAACATGATGTTTTGAAATATGTATACATTGTAGAATGGCTAAATTGAGCTAATTAACATAGGTATTAGCTCATATAATTATCATATTTTACGATGAGATATTCAAATATATTTTCAGAATTCTGATAGTAAGGAACCAAAAGAGTAGAAAAGCAAGAGCTCATTCCGAAGAAATCTTTATTTTGAAACAAAATAACTTGCTTTTGTATTTTCACAAAAAAATATTTTGTCTTTATAGATTATTCACAGACTGGTAGGAAAAATAGCCCTACTTTTTTGGGGAGAGGCGGGGGCTAACTTTATGACTCAAGTGAAACCATTCAGAAACTATAACACGGTCCATATGCTTGGCTTTTTGAAGTCTGCTTAGTACTCCATTAGGGATTCTCAATTTGTACCTCTCAATCTGATTTCGATAAGATGCAGGTTCCCTTCAGCGAGGTGACCTGGTGCAAACACGCAATGGATTAATTCCATAATAAATTATGGGGGCAATAAAGCTTTCTAGACCAGTTTGCCTCTTAAGTAACAATCTTTTATGTCGCCTTATAAAACTGAACTTATGTTTTATTTGTAAGTCATTCTGGGCATAATAAACTGTTTGAATTTTGGGCACTTAGTTTTAGGGTGGAGCACATACTTTCCTGGTGCATTGTTTTATGATGGCTCTGGAGCTACTTATTAGTCAAAGCACCTGAAAGTTCCTTGAGGATACTAACATTTAGTCAAAATAACATCACACCTAAAGGTGCATGGAAATATGGACTTCATATAATTCTGAACTCCAGCTGTTTTTCATCTATTTCTGTTTCTATTTATTTTATATATAGAGAAAGCCCAACATTTGCCATCCAGTGTTGCATGAGATCACTTTGCTTCAGTTTTGTATGAAGTTATATTGCATAGAATATGCACTTATGCTTTTTATAAGATTGATTTTAGGGTGGGTAAGCTCCTTCAGGCAAATAAACAAAAATGTGAATTATTTCATCATATTCTGATGAACACTCCGGGTGGCAAACTGCCCAGAATACTAATTCTTGCTCTTCTTGTGAAAATTGTTTATTTGTTGTACTTCTTAATACCCTTTTTGTACCACTGCATATTGTTACCTTAATCACCAAAGGGTCTTTTATTTTGCTCAGTTTTGAATTTTCTGTGGCCAAATGTACCATGGATAGTAATCTCTGTTCTAGAAATTTATAAAAGCAAACCAATGAGAAAATTTAGTTCCTCTCCTATCTTCCCTATGTGGGTGGATTATTTTAAAAGAAATCTGGGTATATTGTGCTTAAATATCTTTTTTAATTTCCCAAATTAGTGGATCTGTTTCCCATATATTGAATCAGTAAATTTAGACATAATTTGGAAATTATTATAGAAAAGGTTAAATGCATTTAACACCTATGAACTCATGGCAGAAATAGCCTATTCATAGTGAATGAACCAACTTTATTCACAGATGAAGTGTGGAAAAAGAAAAAAGAAAGAAAGAGATTCACAGGCAGGCACGTTCAAATTCACGTCTACCACTCTAGACTTAGCTTCTCTTCTATCTGGGAAATGGAGAGTCAGTTAAAAACATCATCTTCTTTCCACATAGCATCTTTCATTGAAAATATTCAGTATAAAATGGCAGTTCTGTCCTCAAGGAATGAGCAGACTACTTTCTTTTGTGTGTTCTATCTCTCCAGCTTCATATAGTGTTTGTGAAGATGAAATAAAATTGTAAATCAAAATGCTTCAAAATTTATAATGCAATAGATAAATGGAAAGAATAAAGATATCGAGATGATATTAATTCAGGTCAACTTAATTCATTTAATTCAGATTCTTATTATTCACTGAATATATTACATTGCTATAGTTTCTGATAATGACCATAAGCAGAGACAAGTACATCACCTTACATCACAACCAAGGACAAGGGGGGATGCTAGGCCTGATCAAAGAAATAGCACTAATTAAGCATGTTCCATAGGCAGTAAGCTTTTTATGGGCCAAACCGTGTGGCTTTTAGGCTTTCACATTGGCTTCTCAGTGGTATAGTCTTTGTAAACTACCAGACTATGCACTAGTTTCCTAGGACTGCCATAACAAATTATTAATACAACAAACTGGGTAGCTTTAAACAATAGAAATTGATTTTCTCGCACTCCTGGAGGCTAGGTGTCTGCAATCAAAGTGTTGGTGGAGTCTTCTTCCCTCCAAAGGCTTTAAGAAAGAATGCTACCATGTCTCATTTAGTGTCTGGTGGTTGGCAGCAATTCTTGATGTCCCTTGGCTTGTGGCAGCTTAACTCCAATTTCTGCCTCTGGTCCTGACATAGCTATCTTACCCCTGTACGTCTGATTTGCCTGTGTCCAAAGTACCCTCTTTTTTTTTTTTTTTTCCTCTCTCTCCTTTTTTCCTTTATTCTCTTGTTCTTCTCTGTTCTTTTTTTTTTTTTTTTTTAATTATACTTTAAGTTTTAGGGTACATGTGCACATTGTGCAGGTTAGTTACATATGTATACATGTGCCGTGCTGGTGTGCTGCACCCACTAACTCGTCATCTAGCATTAGGTATATCTCCCAATGCTATCCCTCCCCCCTCCCCCCTCCCCACCACAGTCCCCAGAGTGTGATATTCCCCTTCCTGTGTCCATGTGATCTCATTGTTCAATTCCCACCTATGAGTGAGAATATGCGGTGTTTGGTTTTTTGTTCCTGCGATAGTTTACTGAGAATGATGGTTTCCAATTTCATCCATGTCCCTACAAAGGACATGAACTCATCATTTTTTATGGCTGTATAGTATTCCATGATGTATATGTGCCACATTTTCTTAATCCAGTCTATCATTGTTGGACATTTGGGTTGGTTCCAAGTCTTTGCTATTGTGCTATTCACAATAGTAAAGTACCCTCTTTTAAAGACAGCAGTCGTTGGACTTAGAGCCCAGACTGAGCCAGTATGATCTCATCTTACTTTGGTTACCTCTACAAAGATCCCATTTCCAAATAAGGTCACATTCATCGGTTCTGGTGTTTAGAACTTCAACATGTCTTTTTTTGGGTAACACAATTCAATGCACAAAGAAATTATAAAATTCAAAATTTGTATGTGTTTTTAGATGGGAAGCATCAATGTAGGCGATTTGAAGCCTGCTCTTAGAATTTAGGCCTTCCTTTAAGGAAAAAAAAAAAAAATCCTTCAAACAGTTTAGCCAGACATATTAGGTTTTCATCTGGGATTCATGATCCAGAGTAATAAAGATAATTCATGTGTAAGTCTTTGTCCTATGTATATCAGTTTTAATAGAAACATTATAAAATGACAAATACCCAGTTCATAATGGAACCAGGAGTAATCCTGTGTCCTGGCTGTCTGTGTTACAATTTTTTTCTTATTCTTCAAACTTGGTAAACCTCCAAATAGGGTATTGGAAGACAGACCAAACCAAAAAGTGATCTCCATTATTTTTATATTTCACGGGTTTTTAAAAATCATTTATTTATTTATTTTTAATAGAAATGAGGGTCTCATGATGTTGCCCAGGCTGGTCTGGAACTTTAGGGCTCGAGTGATTCTCCCGCTTCAGGCTCCCAAATTGCTGGGATTACAGGATACTTAATGCTTTTAAGTTAAAAATTATCACAAAAATTTTACTCTCACACTGTGTTCATCATAATTATTATATCTTAATTGTTACAATTTCTTCATTAATACATGCTTTCAAAAATAGGTAAAATGATGTGTCATAAAAAAACTATCATCTTGTTCAGAAAACATTACATTAATATGATACTCATATTATATTGCTTACAGAATACCAACACAAAGTTCATTTTTTGGCCAATGTTTTGTTTTAAAAAATAATTCTGATAGGTGGAAAAGCATAAAAACTAAAGAAAACATGATTTAATATACTTGTCCAATAGAAATTTTTATGCTATTGAAAATATTTAAATCTGCAGTGTTAACTATGATAGCCATTATAGTAATATATTAATGTTAATATAATGAAACTTTGTCATATTCATCTTTTAATTAGTATGTGTTTGTAACTTAATTAACACTTTACAGTGTGCATTTAAAAATATGAGTAAGTAAATTTAGGCTTATGGTTGTAAATTTTTAGGTTTCACAGAATCAAAACATAGTAATATGAGACCTTTTTGTCCAGTTATTTGTGAGAATTTTAAATGATTATTCTTGCACAGTACTACATTTTATACAACTAGTTTAATTCAAGAGTTTGTAAGTTAAGTCTAATATAACATAATTCAATATAGTAATGGCCAGATAATATATATCTACTAAGCACTTGAAATGCATCTAGTACAAATGAGGAATTGTATTTTATATTTTATGTTTTATTTAGTTTAAATTAAAATAGCCATATATGAATAGTGGTCAGGATACTGGATATCATAGTTCTATTAGATTTGCATAAAGCTAAAGGGATATGACTGTGCCTTGGAATATTCCACTCTTTAGGTCTCCAGATGGGTCCAGTGCAGCAATGTTCACAAAGTTTTTTAAAAATTAGAAAAAATAATTTATCTTTGATCATGATTGTTAAATTTCTTTCTTGAACTAACAAAGGAAGCATTGAAGTGAGTGGAATAAGAGGGAAAATGATGAATTCTTTGGCTATATCAAATTCATTAAAGAATGAAATTTGTTCTGGCACAATTACTATGTACTTTATAGCTCATTTAACTAACTGCTCATTATCCCATGAAATGGAAAAGCATCTTGGTGCTCAAATCCATCTGGCTGACAAAAGGTCACTGAAGACTTCTTAGAAAGCCAAGTGAAACTGATTATTTCCTAACAAATCAATGCTTACACCCAAAATTCCACTCACATACAAAGTGTCAACTGTCACCATTTTTGGTATATTCAGCAAAGTAATATTTAAAAGAAAAATTTATAAGTGAGTCATTTTCAGCCACAAGGGGTTTGTTTTATTATTACTGCTTTTTGATATATAGCTAATGTGTAAAAAATAAAATTTTCTGTTTTTCTTACCTCCAGACTATGGCAGAAACTGTGTCATAATCATTTTAATGAATATGTGTTTTCAACTTAAGACTTTACAGTATGCACTTAAAAATATGAATAAGTAAATTTAGGCTTATGTTTGTAGTTTTTTAGGTTTCACATAATCAAAACATAGTAACAATTAGACCATTTTGTCCAGTTATTTGTGAGAATTTTAAATGCTTATTCCTGCACAGCACTACATTTTATACAACCAGTTTAATTCAAGAGTTTGCAAGTTGAATCTTTCCTGTAGGTCTTTCTTCATGCTGTATTTGCTTCTTGAAGTTTCTTTATTTTTATTTTTATTTTTATTTTTTTATTATACTTTAAGTTCTAGGGTACATGTGCACATTGTGCAGGTTAGTTACATATGTATACATGTGCCATGCTGGTGCGCTGCACCCACTAACTCGTCATCTAGCATTAGGTATATCTCTCAGTGCTATCCCTCCCCCCTCCCCCCACCCCACCACAGTCCCCAGAGTGTGATATTCCCCTTCCTGTGTCCATGTGATCTCATTGTTCAATTCCCACCTATGAGTGAGAATATGTGGTGTTTGGTTTTTTGTTCTTGCGATAGTTTACTGAGAATGATGATTTCCAATTTCATCCATGTCCCTACAAAGGACATGAACTCATCATTTTTTATGGCTGCATAGTATTCCATGGTGTATATGTGCCACATTTTCTTAATCCAGTCTATCATTGTTGGACATTTGGGTTGGTTCCAAGTCTTTGCTATTGTGAATAATGCTGCAGTAAACATACGTGTGCATGTGTCTTTATAGCAGCATGATTTATAGTCCTTTGGGTATATACCCAGTAATGGGATGGCTGGGTCAAATGGTACTTCCAGTTCTAGATCCCTGAGGAATCGCCACACTGACTTCCACAATGGTTGAACTAGTTTACAGTCCCACCAACAGTGTCACAATTGCTTCAAAGAGAATAAAATACCTAGGAATCCAACTTACAAGGGATATGAAGGACCTCTTCAAGGAGAACTACAAACCACTGCTCAAGGAAATAAAAGAGGATACAAACAAATGGAAGAACATTCCATGCTCATGGGTAGGAAGAATCAATATCGTGAAAATGGCCATACTGCCCAAGGTAATTTGCAGATTCAATGCCATCTCCATCAAGCTACCAATGACTTTCTTCACAGAATTGGAAAAAACTACTTTAAAGTTCATATGGAACCAAAAAAGAGCCCGTATCGCCAAGTCAATCCTAAGCCAAAAGAACAAAGCTGGAGGCATCATGCTACCTGACTTCAAACCATACTACAAGGCTACAGTAACCAAAACAGCATGGTATTGGTACCAAAACAGAGATATAGATCAATGGAACAGAACAGAGCCCTCAGAAATAACGCCGCATATCTACAACTATCTGATCTTTGACAAACCTGAGAAAAACAAGCAATGGGGAAAGGATTCCCTATTTAATAAATGGTGCTGGGAAAACTGGCTAGCCATATGTAGAAAGCTGAAACTGGATCCCTTCCTTACACCTTATACAAAAATCAATTCAAGATGGACTAAAGACTTAAATGTTAGACCTAAAACCATAAAAACCCTAGAAGAAAACCTAGGCATTACCATTCAGGACATAGGCATGGGCAAGGACTTCATGTCTAAAACACCAAAAGCAATGGCAACAAAAGACAAAATTGACAAATGGGATCTACTTAAACTAAAGAGCTTCTGCACAGCAAAAGAAACTACCATCAGAGTGAACAGGCAACCTACAAAATGGGAGAAAATTTTCGCAACCTACTCATCTGACAAAGGGCTAATATCCAGAATCTACAATGAACTCAAACAAATTTACAAGATAAAAACAAACAACCCCATCAAAAAGTGGGCAAAGGACATGAACAGACACTTCTCAAAAGAAGACATTTATGCAGCCAAAAAACACATGAAAAAATGCTCATCATCACTGGCCATCAGAGAAATGCAAATCAAAACCACAATGAGATACCATCTCACACCAGTCAGAATGGCAATCATTAAAAAGTCAGGAAACAACAGGTGCTGGAGAGGATGTGGAGAAATAGGAGCACTTGAAGTTTCTTTTTTGACTTCATTTTATAAAATAGTTCTCATATTTCCTCATCCTTTTGGCATCAGAAGACATAGGGAAAATGGCCAGGTAGGTTATAATTTAAGCCTATAAATTTAAAAACTTATTTATATTGCAGAAATATAGAAAGGTAGTTGGAGGTCTGAAATAAAACATTGAAAATGTAAGAGAAATAATTCATAAGAAATGATGAGCCGAATGTCTTATATGAGAAAAAGACATGTAGAAAATTTCATACATTTTTCATGAACTCACCAAGAGGACTTGATTGTGAAAATGCCATCCACACCATCAATTCTTCTTCACCTATATATAAAACATGATTGACTTTCATAAATTTAGTTTTCCCAATTATATTCTCAAGTTTCCTGTTTTTAATTTTTTTTTTTTTTTTTTTTTTTTTTTTGAGATAGGGTCTCACTCTCTCAGGCTGGAGTGCAGTGGCATGATCATGACTCACTACAGACTTGAACTCCTGGGCTCAAGTGATCCTGCCACCTCAGTCTCCTGGGTAGCTGGGATTACAGGTGTGAATCATCATGCTTGGGTAATTTTTAAATTTGTTTTTTATAGAAACAGGGTTTCACCATATTGGCCAGGCTGGTCTCAAACTCCTGGCGCCAAGTGATCCTCCCACTTTGGTCTCTCAAAATGTTGGAATTACAGGGATGAGACACCATGTTTCATTCAAGTTTTATTCTCCAAATATTTGTCATTTATCAATCTTTTGCCTCTCAGATCTAAACCCACCCTTCATTGCTTGCTCTATGAAAACACAGGTAATCCATTTAAACTTGTTTTTTTTTTTTTTTCACCAGCTATGCTCTGCTATGCTTTGTCAGTAGAGGATGCTTAAGAGAAATGGCAGGAGGAACGAGTTTTTCTTCCTGGTTCTGGGTTGTTTCATTGGATAGTTCTTGCATACAAGTTCCCAGCAACCAGCTCCTGTAGTGCAGATGGCTTCCCCAGTACTCAGCTCCTACAGA
Source organism: Homo sapiens (assembly GCF_000001405.40). Lineage (NCBI taxonomy): Eukaryota > Metazoa > Chordata > Mammalia > Primates > Hominidae > Homo > Homo sapiens. Next base: position 84,705,431 of record NC_000007.14, on the reverse strand, counting down.
ACATGGTGTCTGAAACCCCTCTAGTAGTCAGTAGCTTCGTACTGGAGCCTCCCCAGTATAGCACTTACTTATGAATGGCTTTTTCTGGCATGCTAAAAGGCAGCTCTCTAACAAGTTCTGCCAGTATGCCTGGTACCACAGCAATTTCTCTGTCCTTTAGTGATCACAGCAATGCCCTCTATAACAAAGTTCAGATCTCAGCCCTGACAGGGCAGGGTTCTCTTTTGCCCTGCCTTAAATACAAAAGTAATGCCTTCTCCTTTACAGCTGCTATTCCAGTATTCATTAGAGTTGTCTTTAACTCTTACTAATCTCTTCATTATTCATATATCCTGTTATAATAACTAATTCAGTATATTAGCTTTTTCCCATTCAAGTTACAGTGAGGTTTCTCTGTCTTAATTGGATCCTGATTTACACAGTGGCAGCGGTTGCCTAAAAGCCAGGCTAGTGTTGCATTTCATCTCTTTGATTTCTGCGCTAGCCAGAGAAGTGTTAATCTATTGTATTCATCTACTGACAGGTAGTGAGTTGAATAGTGTCTCCTTGAAAAGATATGTTCATGACCTCACTCCTAGAGTCTGTGAAGACCTTACTGGGGTCGGGGGTGGGGGGGTCTTTACAGATACAATTAACTTAGTGATATCAAATTAAATCATACTGGATTACCTGGGTGTTCCCTAAAACCAATGACAGCTATTCTTATGAGAATGAAGCAGAGGGAGATTAGACAGACAGAAAAGGAGGACACACGGGGAAGAAGGCTATGCTAAGACCAAGGCAGAGATCCGAGTCATGAAAAGCCAAGCCAAGGAGCACTTGGAGACACTAGAAGCTGGAAGAGGCAGGGAAGGATTCTCCTCTAATGCCTCTGGAGGGAGCATGGCCCTGCTGACAACATGATTTCAGACTTTTGGACAGATAATACCTTTCTGTTGTTTAAGACATTGTGTTTGTGGTAATTCGTTAAGCCAGGCCAAGGAAACTAACACAGACGAAACCAGAATCCCAATGAATTTGACAACATTAATGATATATTATCTAAATTCTAACTCAATACAGATAGATAACAAATGTATTTTCTTCTACCAATTGAAAATGAATTTCATGACTGCTGTTCTTTATTAAACATTCTATGTAATAATAACTAATAAATATGATAGCAATGGAATAAACTATGATAAAATTCATATTAAATATTAAAGCCAATCAAAAATGTAATGAATAATTATGATTGATGACAATGCCATTGATGATACTTATTACCTGTACTCAGTAACTGGTATGTTTTTAACCTTATATATTCCATATATAAGCTTCTTCAGAATTTTTTTTCTTTAAGTGCTATAGAATAATTTTAATTGGTAATCAAATAATACTGATACCACTAAAAATTTGAAAAGCCATAATGATAATAGTTACACTGCTGAACACTGTCTTTATAATTGTATATTTAATATTTAAACTCAAAAGGAAACCTAACAATATTAATGCATTTTATATTCATTTACCAAGAAAGGCAAGTGAAAAAATTTGAATTATTTGTAGATAATTCTCTTTCTAATAATTCCAATTTCATAGGCATTTCAGATCTAATTTCCATATTTTGTTCCTCAGAAAATTACAATATACTTAGAGCACAAAATTTATCATTTCAATAAGAAAGAAAGTTTATAATAAAGTTCTTAAGTGGGGTCCATATATTCTTGTATAAAATTGTAACAGCAAATAGAGTAGGAGCTAACCTCCTTCTAAGAATTAAAACATGGAGAAGAAAATTTACAAATTAGCCAAGTCTTAAGAACACATAACTGTGTTTTTATTGTACTTGTTATTTTCTATGTAAATAAAGAAGAGGTTTAAAACTAAAAATAATAATAATGAAGGTAGTATACTCTTAAATCCACCATGGAAATTAATACCTTTATTTCTTAATTATACCTACTTTGGGATCAGCCTAAATCCTTCCAGGTTTGAGATTTCTTATGAAGCGCAGTCTAATTTCAGCCTTCTGAAAGAATTCAGTGGGTTAGCTTTCAAGAACAAAAGGAAAAATAATTTATCTAATTATTGGAAATTCCAAGAAGAGAAAATGTCTTATGCCAAGCCTAAAATATTTATATTTTCTTGAATTAATTTATAGCTAGCAAACTCTGTCTTCCGAGTTCTCAAAAATAAATGTAGACTTAAAAATCTACTTAATTTTGTATGCTCTTTAAAACAACATTTTGATGAGTTAAATGTAAATGAATCAGAAACATATGGATAAACTCTCTTTAAAGTATTTATAGCTATAAATATATGCATAAAAGAGGAAACTAAATACTTTGCAAAATATAGTTTGGGCTTGCCACACAATCATTTGATAATTACTTGAGTTATTTATCATCAGTGAACAGGACTGCTTCCTCCTTCCAGAATTGCTTTGAATGTGGTGAAAATATTTTGTGGAAATTAGTAGAACCTATTAGAGGAAATCCTTAGTTCCCTCTGCCTAGATTGATAACATTTCAAATGAACCAACAATATTTAGCCATAAATAATTATCACACATATGGGAAATTAATTGTATTTTTTTATCTTAATTATCCACTTCAGTAATCATTAAAGTTATATATGATAATATTGCAGCAATAACATTTGGAATATAGAAAAGTATATCAACAAGATTGAGGGTAAATGTTGATATTTCTCTAAGAGGGGATAAAAATCATTATAATTTGGAGGAATGAAAACACATAATTGCTATTAAGCACTTTATACAATTGTATAAAGAGTCAAAAATTTACATTTTATTAGTCTACAGTATATTTATATTCTATTAAATAATTATTAATTTTTGTTTTTTTCAAATCTACCTACATTTGGATGTTTGAAGACCTTAGCACAGCATAATGTTACTAAGTGGTAGATACTTAGACATGTAAACCATTATTAATATTTGTTCATTGTAATGGTTAATTTTGGGTGTCAATTTGACTGAATTAAGGGATAAGCAGGTAGCTGGTGAAGCATTATTTATTCTCAATAATTGCATTAATTATTCTCCATGCCTCAGTAGGCACTGAACCTGTGCCTCTCTGTTGAAAAGGAAACCCAGGTGACTTGGCATTTGATTAAAATAATTAGGTTGCCCCAAGTATGTCTATGAGGGTGTTTCTGGAGGAAACTGGCACTTAAGCCTGGCTGAGTAGGATCCACCCTCAGTCTGGGCAGGCACTAAGCAATCAAGTCTGGATGAACAAAAGGGCAAATGAAGGGTGAGTTATTGCTCTGTTTCTTTTGAAGCTGGGACCCATTTCTTCTGCCCTCGGATATCAGATTTCCAGATTGTTTGGCTTTTGGACTCTGGGACTTTGACCAGCAGCCTCCATGCCCTAGGACTTGAGGACTTGGTCTGAGTCATGCTACTGGCTTCCCTGGTTCTCAGCTGTAAATGACGTGTTACGAGACTTAATCTCCGTAATCAAGTGAACTAGTTCCCTTAAGAATTTCCTTCTCATATATTTATTTTTCTCTCCCTACATGTATGTATATTATTGTTTCTGTCTTTCTAAAGAACCTTGACTAAAACATTAATGAAAGGTACATTTCTCTGCCTCACAGTTTTTACTTTTTGGTTCATACATTACAAAATCCTACCTTTAGATTTAATTAATATGGCTTTTTTTTTTTCAAATTTCTTGAACATATTTCATCACATATTAGTTAAAAGGAAGTTTTTATTTTGGGGGGGTATAATCTGCTTTATGAGCCATACAAATTAGCGTGTCATGAGTCATACTTTCCACCAAGCATTTCAAGTGTGAAGAGGCATCCAAATTCAACACAGAACTGTTGCCATGGTATACGTTTCCCGTCTTCTTCCTTGGTCTACATAGGATTCAACTACTCAGGCATTTTTAGGACATTAATTGAAGGGGATAACAATAATACCTCTATCAATCCTTAAACACTCGCTTTTGGCCGGGCACTGTGCTGTCTGCTTTATGTTTTTGTTTATGGTAATTACATTTTCTTATTTCTTATTTCATTAAACAATTCTAATATTTCCTTACACTGTAAAGATAGACTGACACAAAATCATAAACATTCCTGGATATAAATTTTAATCAAAATTCAAAGTGTTTCTTGTTCAGTGGTTTCTGTCTAAATTTTTGGATAATCACACTAGAGTTCAATATGTTTCCTATATAATCTGACAATAGTGCTTATGTCTCTGTCCTCACACAGCTGCACTGTGATTCAGACAACCTGAGTCACAGACCCTCTATGAAAATTATTGTTTATGAAATACAAAATTTAAAAAACAGTGATGAACAAATTATTGAATAAAAAAGGTGTGAATTCATAAACATCAAAGACACAATTGCTTTCAATTTAAGGCTTTGTTCAGAGTCATGTTTCAAGAAAGACATAGTTTCCAAAATATCCAGTTTTAGTTATGAATCATATAATCAAAAATGCATGATGTTGGTCAAAGCATATAAAGTTTCAATTATGCAGTATGAATAAATTCTGGAGATGTAATGTATAGCATGGTGACTATAGCTAATAGTAGTGTATTTTTTACTTGGGGATTTGCCGAGAGAGTAGGTCTAAAATGTTCTCAGCTAAAAAATTAAAAAGTAACTATGTGAGGTGATGGATATGTTAATTAGCTTGATTGTGGTATTCATTTCGCAATGTACACTTATATCAAAACATCACATTGTATACCTTAAATATTTACAATTTTGACTTGTCAGTCATACTTTAACAAAGCTGGAAAAATGTATGGTGCTCTACACCTCTACACTGTGATGAAAACATGTTTCAAAAATCAATAATTGTGCTTATTAACATATTGGAAAGTAATGGTTGATGATCGTCTATTTGCTCATCCTCCAGGTATAATTGAAAGTCAATAAATCCAGTAATCTCAAGGTCTTTTAAAATTCTGAGGTTTTTTTTTTAAGGCTTACACTGATTGAACAGTTATTGCATTTTTATATTCTATCTTCCAAATAAATGGGTGAATTGATTCTGTTTAGAAGATAATCCCTTTATCTTTTACTTCAATCACCTTAGAAAATGAAAGAAATAAGAAAACAAGGACTGCAAACTAACATCCTCTTGGTATTTTAAAATCAGAAAAGTATTATGTTGTACTACAAAGAAGGTACCCAATGATATACTGTATTCTTGAAAAATAATAAGACAGTGGATACTAAGTGTCCTCACCACAAAATGATAATTATGTAAGGTAATGCATATGTTAATTAGCTAGATTTAGCTATTCCACAATGCATATATACTTCAGAACATTATGCTCTACAAAATGAGTACAATTTTATCTGTCAATATAAATGAATAAATTTGAACATTCTAAAAAAAAGTTACACAATGACTAATGAAAATGAGGTAATATAATCTTCCATGTCGTTCCTATGCCATTAATTTTAGTTTTGTTTGTTTGTTTGTTTATTTTTTTAATAGACAGAGTGTTGCTCTGTTTCCCAGGCTGGAGTACAGTGGTATGATTAGTGGCTTTTTTACTTATTTTTTGTAGAGACTGAGTCTCACTTTCTTGTCCAGGCTGGTCTCCAACTCCTGGCCTCAAGTGATCCTTTCACCTCAGACTCCCAAAGTGCTGGGATTGCAGGCATGAGCCTCTGCACCCAGCCCCATCAATTTGAAGAATGTAGGATATGGCTCAGTAGTTGTGATTTAACTTGGGCAGATTTTGTGAAGATAGGAACTTTACAGGTAAAACTATATCTGTTTTCCTTCAGTGAATTGACTTTTTAAAGCCATCTATTATTCAGTAAATCAATACATAAGTAAATAAAAACTATTTATAGCTATACAAAATAGTTATGTTATTGAATCACATTGTTAATTATAGCAATAATTACCCATTCATCCAACAATTTTCAGAGCTGACCATATTTAATTCTTGAATGTAATCTTTCATCTCTGAGGTACATATAATTTTCACATTATTGTAAAAAATAAATTCTGGGAGAAGAAACAGCATGCTGCTTGTCAGGGCCAGGTCTCTTCTATTAAATAATAAATACATTATCTATTTTAAATGATTTATTTAGTAAATTTTATTTAGCTTTTTATTAGGAGTTTTAAAGTAATCTATAAAATAGGTTAAAATCTTAGAAAAATTTGCTTGATTTTGATTTTTTTCCTTTGGTTTAGTAATTAGTGAGTTTGCTTATAATATAAAAGGCTTTTCCTTATGTCATATGTAACCCTAGATAGCAAAGGTTCTGTGGTTTACCAGGGCAATTTTATGCAGTCTTTGTTGATTTTATTACATTCATTTTTTTTAAGAGAACAAATATTCCTCCTTCATTTATAAAATAGCTAATTTCTTTACAATCCTGATAACTTATGTGTTTATTTTAAACTATTTTATTTTCATTTACTTAAATACATAACAAGCATTGTTTTTCTGGCACTTGATATTTTATCTTTATTGAGTTTAAATACACTCTGAAAACTTCATTTTGCCTTCCAAAATTGGATCCTAAATTTTTTAAAAGTAAAATAAAATTTTAAATATATGTTTCATGCTTAAAACAGGAAAATCATAAAGTATTTTATTCTTTCATATTATAGAAAGAGACATAGTTGAAATAATTAGGGTGTTTGATATATTATCATTTTAAGGGTTTCCATGGAAGAGTTCCCAAATATGAAGACAGTCAGCCTGCTTTAGGTTAAGTTTACATAGGTAAAATATTATTAATAAATATTTTTGGCTTTAGGTCAAATGTATATAGGTAAAATATTGTTACTATGAATACTTTTGAAATTGTATGTTTTTTGAGAACTTTCTAGAGATATTTAAATGCCCATGCACTCCATCATGTGTATTTATCCACAGATAACACACTGATCAAAACTAAGTCCAAGATAGTCCGTTGTTTTCCTGTATTTATTAGAGTCCTGGCAGTGCTTTGTTAAATTATATTAGAAATAATAGTACAGTGTTATCAATCAAAATGTCAGTTATACAAAATATTTACTAACCACAACTCAACTTCTTCCATTTGAATTTTGCACCTTCTAGGTCACTGGGGATGTGCATCAGACTTACCCATGAAGTTTTATAAAAATACAGGTAGCTAGGCCTACTCTAGCCTTACTGAGTCTCTCTCTGATACTCTTGATATATTTAAAAGTTATGTTTCAGAATATTTCATATCTCAATATATAGTTTTTCCATCAAAGTTATACTCATCAATTTTAATACATCAGATATAAAATTCAATGAGGTCTTTGAAAATATACTTGATCATTATTCTTAGAGACACTTTGTCTAATTTTTTTTGGAATGGCTTTAGTATCTTTGTTGTGCATGCCACAGAAGAAAACAAATTTTCTTGTTGATTGCATTATTCTTATTATGATCGCTCATCAGGCATTCCATATTTTAAAATTAACAGTAATAAATTAGTATAGTCATTAAATTCTTGTTATCTACAGATGGTTTTAATTTAACTCTGATACTTGCCTGAAAGTTCTGTATATATGCTACACAACAGTTTGTGTCTCTCACAAAAAAAAAAAAAAATGACAGTGTCAGATCCTCATGGGAAGGGACTATAGTAGGTGATTTAAACTTTGGTACTATAAAAGTATGTGTTTAGGTATAAGCTTCAGTGGGTCTCCGTGGGTACAGGTTTCTGAGCTTGCAACACTTAGATGACTTTCACATTACGCCAGTGGACTGAGTCAGAATTTCAAGGCTCCTTTTTATCTAGAAGCAGACAGCTTTTATAAAAACAAACTATTGAACCAAGATGATTCAGAACAAGAATTAATTACATAGTATGAATTAACTCATAAATGGAATTTATTATAGTTAGTTCCTTGTAGCCATGTTGACTTTGATTTAGTGTTCTATTTTCTGGTTCTATGAAAAATAATTTTGTCTGCCTTATCACACTTTTATTAACAATTCAGAAGCTCTGTTTTTGTAAAATAAAACATTTTAAATAATATCAGATTCTCACTGATTCCCACACAATTCAGAAACTCTAAGTTTTGTTACTTTTCATGGCAATTAGGTTAATGAGAATCTATTCTCCTTTTAGTCAGGATGTTTTCTGAGCAAACTGATGAGTATAATGCCCATTTATTTAAAAGGGTCTGACTCTGATGTCACCAAGATAGTGGAATAGAATATACCAGCCTCATCCCCCTGCAAGCAAATACATACAGCAATTCACAAAACAGAATATCTCAAAGAGGGCTCAAAGGTCCGTAAGGAATCTGAAACAACACAATAGAGCAAGCATATTGATAAAATCTACATAGTAGGGTTCTTGGTAAGATTGGCATACCTCAGAGAGCAGGAGATAGCAAGGAGCAAAGAAGAAAGGTGAAGGTTATCAATATTAACCATACTTGGGAAACATTGCAGTCCCAAGTAGCCTGTTTTCATAGAGGATACCAGCATTGCTTGCCACTGAGGTGACCAATAGCCATTCCTATGGAGGAACTCAAGTACAAGACATAGCTATACACTCTTCTACCTCACATAGTAGCTACTCTTCTGCCCCTTCAAAAAAGGAGCCACCATGTCTCGCAACCCTGCATGTGCCCTGACCTCAGAGCTATGACCATCTGTGAGTGTCCACATGCCAGACTATGAAAAAATAGAAACTGGGGACTAATAGGGAGCAGGGAAGAAGGGGGTCAAAGGCTGTAAAACTGTGTTGTGTACTATGATAATAATAGTACTATGATAAGTATCTGAGTAACAGGATCAATCTTAACCCAATTCTCAGTGTCATACAATATATTCATGTAGCAAACCTGCATGTGTGCCCCCGAATCTAAAATAAAATTTGAAATTATTAAAATAGATTTTTGACATCTTCTTGTAGCTTATTAGCTCAATTTTTTTTGTCACTAAATAATATTGGATAGGATAGATATAACACAGTTTGTTGGTAGTTACCTTTTGTAGGACATCTTGGCTGCTTTCTGTTTGGGAAATTATTTATAAAGCCATTATAAACTTGTATGTATATATTTATATTATATATATATGTCAATGTGTATATATAAATATATATTTATATGTAAAGTTTCAGGTTACAAATATACATGCAAAAATCTACAGTATTTCTATACACAAACAATGGACTATCTGAAAAACAAATCAAGAAAGCAATCTCATTTACAATAGCTACAAAAAGTAAAATATTCAGATAAATTTAACCAAAGTGGTAAAACACATGGCACTAAAAACTGTAACATATTAATAAAATAAATATAAAAAGTCACAAGTAAATGGAAAGATATTATCCTGTGTTAATGGACTGGAAGAATTAATATTATGACAATGTTTACACTACTCAAAATGATCTACAGATTTAATGCAATCCCTATACAAATTCCAGTGATTTTTTTTTTTCACAGAAATGGAGAAAACAATTCTAAAATTTGTGTGGAACCACAAAAGACCTTAATAGCCAAAGGAATATTGAGCATAAGGAAAATAGTTGGAGGCATCCCATTTCTTGACCTCAAAATATACTGCAAAGCTATAGTAATTAAAACAGCACAGTGCATAAAAACAGATAAACCAATGGAACAGAATAGAAAGTCCAGAAGTTACTCCATGCAATTGCATTCAACTGAATTTTGACAAACGTACCAAGAACACACAATAAGGAAAAGAGTCTCTTCAATAAATGGCACTGGGGAAACTTGATATCCACATGGAGAAGAATGAAATTAGACCCTATTTGCATACCATGGATAAAAATGTACTTAAAATGAATTATGAATTGAAGACTCAAGTATAAGACCAGGAACTGTAAAGCTTCTAAAAGAAAACATAGGGGGAAATTTCCATGGCATTGGTCTTGGCAAAGATTATTTAAATATGACCCAAAAGCCCAGATAACAAGGCTAAAATAGACAAATTGGATTACATCTAACTAAAAAGCTTCTGCATAGTAAAGAAAACAACCATCAGAATGAATGGACAACCTATGGAATGGGAGAAAATATTTGCATACCATACATCTGATAAGAGGTTAATATCTGGTATAGAAGGAACTCAAACACCTCAGTAGCAAGAATTAAAAAGTGGTTAGAGAACCTATTTCTCAGAAGAAGACATACAAAAGCCTGATAGATATATTAAAAAATTTTTCAACGTCAATAATCATCAGGGAATTACAAATTAAAAACAATGTGGGCTGGGTGCGAGAGCTCATGCCTGTAATCCCTGCACTTTGGGAGGCCAAGGCTGGCTGGTGGATCATCTGAGATCAGGGGTTCGAGACCAGCCTGGCCAGCATGGTGAAACCCCGTCTCTACTAAAAATACAAAAAATTAGCTGGATGTGGTGGCATGCACCTGTAATCCCAGCTACTGGGGAGGCTGACGTGGAAGAATTACTTGAACCTGGGGGGCGGAGGTTGTGTTGAGCCAAGATCACCCCACTGCACTCCAGCCTGGGCAAGAGCGAAACGGTGTCTCAAAACAAAACAAAACAAAACAAAAAAGTGATATCATCTCACACTTGTTAGGATGACTATTATCATAAAAGAAAGATAGGTGTCAGAGAGGAGGTGGAGACATTGAAATTCTTGCACATTATTGGTAGAAATGTAAATTAGCCAAGCCACTAAGGAAAACAGGATAGAAGTTCTTCAGATAATTAAAAATAGGACAACTATGTAATGCATCAATCCCACCACTAGATATATATAAATATATATATCTAAAGGAAATGAAATTCTGTATACTTTGACCAACATCTTCCCAATTCCCTCAGTTCCCAGACTCTGGTAACCAGCATTTTACTCTCCATTTCTGTAAGTTCAGCATTGTTATTAATCATAGTCACCATGATGTACAATAAATATCTTAAAATTATTCCTCCTGTCTATCTGAAATTTTGTATACTTTGACCAACATCTTCCCAATTCCCTCACTTCCCAGACTCTGGTAACCAGCATTTTATTCTCCATTTCTGTAAGTTCAACATTTGTGTAGAGATACATACACTTCTATGTTCATTGCAACATTATTCCCAGTAGCCAAGATATAGATTCATCCTAAGTGAATTCATCAACAAGTGAATGGATAAAGCAAATGTGATGTATATAAATGGAATCCAATTTTGCTATACAAAAGAAGAAAATCCTGTCATTTGCAAAAACATGAAAGACATTATGTTAAGTGAAAGAAGCCACACACAGAAAGACAAATGCCACATAATCCAATTATTTGTAGAGGGTAGAAAATGTTGAACTTATAGAAATGGAGAGTAAAATGCTGGTTACCAGAGGCTGGGAATTGAGGGAATTGGGAAGATGTTGGTCAAAGTATACAAAATTTCAGAAAGACAGGAGGAATAAGTTCAAGATATTTATTGTACCTCATGGTGACTGTGATTAATAATATATTTTATACTTGAAGATGGCTAAGAATGTGGATTTCAATTGTTCTCACTACAAAAAATAATAAGTACATGAGGTAATGCACATGTTAAATAGCTTGACTTAGACATTCCACAATGTATACATATATCAAAATGTTATGTGTACATCATGAATATATTTATTTTTTACTTGCCAATTAAAAAAATAGAACATACAAAATAAAATGGTATGAGAAACCACTGTTACGGAATGTAGGTGGTTTCACTCCTGGAGCCAATGCTTACAAAGTTCTTCCAGGGAAATATCTGTTTCCAGACTTAGTGGGTTCAGGCACCTAAGTAAATTTGTGGCATCTTGTGAAGAGAGGAATTTACCCAAATTATTATATACCACAAGTGGAATCTAATTGTGGAGAGTTTGTGTGGCTTGGTTTCCTATGCTCTGAATAGCAATTAAGGGAGACTTTTCAAAGTTTCAGCTGAGATTTTTCATTATGAAACATCTAGACAGTATTATTCCTGTGACCTCAGTAACTTTTTAAGATTGTGTATGTTTAGATTTGCTAAGCAAACTACAGGAGTACCACATGGTAAAGTAACACATTTGCAGCATCTTCCTAAATAATCCTGCCAACCATAATGAGACCAGTTTTATCATGTAATAAATACTAATCATTGTTTTCTTTTAATAAATGGGAAATGGGAGATGCTAGATAATTGCAAAATACTTACAAATAAACAAGAAAAATGATTGGGTGTCCTGACTAGCTAGCACAATTTCTGGTTACCTGTGCGTTTCATTGTCTTTGGACTATTTTACAGCTCTATTAAGTTATAGAATATTTAAAGTAATGCAAATTACTATTGTCCTTAGAAATGTAACCGTCTGGTGGAGTTTCAGTTGGTTATTGTATTATGTGTATATTGACCAGGTTTAACAGTTTGTCATCTATTGAATAAATGTATTCCACCATTCCTAATAGTCTTATTATATGTATGGTTATTTGAACCAGTGATAACATCTTACTGGTTCCTTAATGTTTAATGAGTTAAGTGTCATTTTGACACATTTCATTTAATATTTTTAAGGGTCTTAATTGTGCCTTTTTCAAAAAGTATTATCTTTAATATTTAGTATCTTTAAGGAAATCATTATGTGACTAGAAAAAGGAATCATTTCTCCAAGCAACAACTTTATAATCTTAAACTGAAGTAATTAAAATACATTACCATTAAAGCACTCTAAAACTTTAATTTTAACTAATATTTTTAAAGAGTTAGATCCTGAACCGAGTACTACAGGCAACTTTCAATGTATCTTTTTTCAAACTTCAAAAACGAGTTTTGTTTAATCATGAATTTTTGAAAATAATTTTTTAAAGAAAAATATGCAAATTGAAAATGCTACCACACCAAAGGTGTCAGTATTGCAAAAATTAATATTTAAGGTGGAAGTCTACCAGGATTTGATGTTGATTCCATTGAATTATTCTTATTTTCCTTTGCCTAGAAATTTCAATATTGGAAAGTAAAGCATTGGTTTACTAAGAACAAAAACAATTGTCTTTTTGTTTCTTAGTGGCTCTCATATTTATGTACAAGAATGTTTATCACAGCATTATTTAGGGTAGCAAAAGCTGGGAACAACTACAAAGGGGGGGATGGTTAAATACATTCACATGGTAGAATCTTTCAGCCAGTAATATATGTACAAAGACTTTTTAGTGACAAGTTGCAACTCAACACTATGTTGAGGATAATTCCAATTATGTAAATATATATTTACACATAAACCCACTGACTGTCCACAAACATAAATTGTTCAAACAACTTTTTCCACTGTTAATAATTTTCCACCTCATTCATTCTTATAAATGCTTGACCTGTCCAGTTTTTCCTACCCATCAGTTTCTTGCTATATTCACTTCACTATCATGCTTGGATTCACTATATGCAAAGACCTGATTAGGCTGGATTAAACCCCAATTCCCAAAACTCTACATCAAAGCATTCGCTTTCTTCATGCCATCAGAATACAGCTAGGGAAAACTGAATAACCTTCATAATAACATGAGTGTAAACACATTATTATTAACACTAACCGTGTCCTCAACACTTGCAAGATATCTTAATATTTTTCTAGCCACTTCTTTTTTTCCAGTTTCTGAGATGCTCCATCTACCACTGTCATTCTCAGCTGATAATTTTAAATCATGAAAAAAAAATGCTCCTCCTATCAAAGGCCATTTCCTCAAGTTTCCTTGGGTTCATGTCACCTCCCAATTTTTCACTCTATGTGTTGTTCCCCTCTTTCCTCATGAAAAATAATCTCTTTATCAGGTTGTTTTTGCATAGCTATAACATATACCTGAGGCTGGGTAATTTATAAGCAAAGAGATTTAATTGGCTCAAGGTTCTGCAGGCTGTATGCAAAACATAGTGCCACAATTTGCTGCTGGTGAGACCTCAGGATGCTTACAATCATGGTGGAAGGTGAAGGGGAGCGGGTGTCTCACATGGCAGGAGTGGAGAAGGAGGGAGAATGGGGGTGGTGACTTGCCACTCACTTTTAAACAAACAGATCTCATGAGAACTCACTCACTATGGCAAGGACAGCACCAAACCATGAGGGATCCACCTCCATGACCCAAACACCTCCAACCAGGCCCCACCTCCAACATTGGGGATTACATTTCAACATGAGACTTTGGGGGACAAATATCCAAACCATATCCTTCTTCTTCTTCTTCTTCTTCTTCTTCTTCTTCTTCTTCTTCTTCTTCTTCTTCTTCTTCTTCTTCTTCTTCTGCTTCTGCTTCTGCTTCTGCTTCTGCTTCTGCTTCTTCTTCTGCTTCTTCTTCTTCTTCTTCTTCTTCTTCTTCTTCTTCTTCTTCTTCTTCTTCTTCTTCTTCTTCTTCTTCCTCCCCCTCCTCCTCCCCCTCCTCCTCCTCCTCCTCCTCCTCCTCCTCTTCTTCTTCTTCTTCTTCTTCTTCTTCTTCTTCTTCTTCTTCTTCTTCTTCTTCTTCTTCTTCTTCTTCTTCTTCTTCTTCTTTTCTTCTTCTTCTTCTTCTTCTTCTTCTTCTTCTTTCTTCTTCACTGAAGTCATTCCTGTCGTATTAGACTTTCTCCTCCTTTTACCTCCCATTCTCTTCTCAAACCATTTCAACACCTTCCTACCCCAGACACCAAACTTTTGCATAAAAATGATCTTGGTATGTTTACCAATCATTTCTAATGGAAACTTGGTCATTACTTTCCTTGCTTCTTAACTGCCTCCAACACAGTTGACTATTCTGTTTTGGAAAATTTTCCTCCTATCCCTCCCAGATACTAAACACTCCAGTTTTATTTCTACCTTTCTCCCAGATCCTTTTCATTATTTTTTGCTTTCAGGAGTCTGTTAGCTCCTTTGTTCACACCTTTGTTAATCATTTTTGCTCTTTACTTATGTGAACCAACTAACTTCAATGGCTTTAAATGCTGTTTACCTGCTGATCACTTCCAAGATTCTATCATCAGCACAGGCCTCTTTCTATTCTACGTTTCAGACATGACAAATTTATAATAAGATATAATTAGTTACCTAGTGAGTATACAACTGCATAGGGAACACCTCTTCTTGAATGGTATTTCACAATCTGTGTGTTCAAAACTGAACTCATGGTGGAAACATCCTAACAGGCTACTCATCTAAATTTACAGCAGAAACTTTGTGTCTTATATGACACCTTCCTATAGCTTACCCCCAATGCAATCAACCAACTAGTACTTCCTAAATATAAATAATATATATTTCATAACTGATTTATTAAATGCTTATAAATTTTCTGCAAAGCAGTGTAATTTGGTAGGCCTCAATCTTTTATTCAGATTACCACATTTACAAAACAACCATATTGCCCCTTAAGCATAGGCATTGTAACAAATTTACAATAAGATATAATTAATTACCTAGTGAGTTGATGGAATTTCAGAACTTGGAACTCTTTAAAAGCAAAGGAGATTGCCATATATATGAACTTGTTTAGAGGAGGTTCTATGTAAGGCAGGAAGGTGAAGTAAATTACATTCCAAACTTTTTTCGAAGGCTATAAACCTTCAGATTTCAAGATCTTTTTAGTGGACATTACTTTTTCTAAGTGCCAACTTTCACCAATCATCTCCCTTGTATATTTTTTTCTGTGATATTTAATTTCTGACTAATGTAAGATTTTGATGAGCATTCTCCCCAGTTGTTTGCATGTTTGTTGGTTTAAAATAAACATTATTAAGGTTTTCTAAGTGTGCATTGAAATAAAATACAGGAGTTAGGACTATGAAGTGAAAAGAAAGGGTTGGAGTACATGATAAAAAGCAGAATTAATTCCAGTCCAAAGGACACAATTTTCTTATCCCTGAAACTATTAGGTTGTTGATTATACATTATAAACAAGCACTTCTCCTAAGAAATTGCATTTTAGATCTTGTTCACTTTCAATTTGATAGGTCTCAGGGCTCTAAATTCTGCCAAATATAAACATGTCTGAAAGATCTACATAATACAGTTCTAGAAAAATTCAATAGCTATTATTTACTGTGCTTCTAATAGGTGGTATTATATTAAATAGCTAACAATCCTATTTTTTTCCTTTAATGTCATTTTCACACATAAAAATCTTGCAGTTTTGATACTGTTGAAAACCCAGAGTTAATAAACTTACCAAAACTTTATAACTATAGAGCAGCAAATAGTAATTGAAACAAGTCTCCTGGACTTCCAAATATGAATATAGTCATACATAAGTATTTAGATATTATTTTCCACTTTCTTGGTTTTATCTCTACTTTCTCTTCATTTCTTGGCCATATAACATCTGCCTTCCCTAAAAACTAAATGAAATTCCTATGTGTAAGAAAGAGTGTAATATAATTTTTTCATTATCATAATGTCGAATATTTCCCATGCAATCAATTGCATTAAGGTTTCAAAGCTCAATCTAAACTAAATTTCTAATTAACATTCCCTAATATTATTATAGTGAATTTTCAAGCTGTGGAATAAACCACTCTATCATTTTATAAAAGACTTTTCTGTTTTGGTTTGGCCTTGGGCAAATTGTTATGTCATCACCACACTAGAAATTAAGCTGTGTCTGTGATGACAATCACTTCTGCAATTTCCTGAAATCTCAGACTAGAGCTGAAACCATGTCTATGATTAAAGACAGCACAATGGAAATATAGAGCTTCATGAAATATGGAATGTATATCCATTGCAAAAATGATAGGGCTTTCCCTTAAGAACAACAGAGTAAAGAATTGTTAGAGAAGAACAGTTAAAAACACTTGCCTATTGCCTACAGATTAAATATGTTCTCTTTCATAGTTTATCATGTTCTTAGGCTTTATGTAATACTTTATATTCAATCCAAGATCTGTTCCAAATAAAATATTATATCTTTAACTGTGTTTCAGTTCTGCATATCTTGATTAGAGTTTCTTCTTGATCAAAGTCCTGATTTTCACATTTGTAATATTAAAGCACTTTCACACTTGTTACTCATTTTCAATTCAAGCAGGTGAAGAGAAAAAAAAATCTTTACAAGCTTTTCCCAGCGTCTGGAGGGGCTAATTTGCAAGATCATGAATCTCTGGAAAAGAGTTCAGTTTAACTATAAAAAGAAAATGAATCTTAGATGTTTTCTGATAAGCTGCAGATCATCACCCTGATCAGCAACATCTTTTATTTATTTTTTATTTTTTATTTTTTTAGAAGATCTGGCATGTCTCCATTACACAGACTGAGAGATAATTAACCTGAGTTTCATTTAGTTCTTTCAAACAATGAGTACACAAGCTTGGGCATCAAAGCTTCAGGATTCCTTGTGCAAACTGCAGTGGCTGTACTGTAGCCACTTTAATAAGCAGGTATTTTTTTTTTCTGTTCCAAATCCAAATGCTACTATCCAGGCTGTAAAATGATCTTAATCTATTATGTTTCAGTTATCTTTTTGAAGGCAGTCAGAATACGAAGCCCCATACGGAAACAATCTTTATTTTCCGTCGGCTGCATATGTTGTGTGCCTAATGAAATGCATTTCACATATTTATTTTAAGTATGTTATAGAATTACAACATTGACAACATTCATAATCCTCAAAAAATGTGATGCATTTTAAACACATGGTGATGCCTAGCTCTGTCGCAGAAATGTTCAAATAAAATGTATTTAATTTGAATATATGCAAATATAAATATACCTAATTAATACATATTTTATATATCTATGTGTATTTGTATACTCAAGTAGATTTGATGTTTAACAAAACAAAGCTTTAAGCGATCTTCCTTTTTTCTTATTTTATTCAAAGCAATTTTAGTAAATACTTTCAATAATAAAATGTTTCTGAAAATCTATAGTTGGCAGTTATCAATTTGGATTTGTTCATGACAGGCAGAATGGTAAGAAAACTTTCTCTAAATTAAGTCAGTAAAACAATTATTGCCACCTATATTTTGCTAGACTCAATGATATCTCTAATTTTCTTCCAAAGTGAAAAATTCTCCTTTTATTTTTCCCAATTCTCCAAATTAATGCCACTTATTTTATTTTATAAAATGCTTATTTTGAAATGCTTTTATAAAGCATCTAGTATCTCAAATGTACATCAATGATAATAGTATGACAGTACCAAGAAATGAGAAAATTCTCTAATTGATAACTAATGAATTGCTGAGTAGCAATTTTGAGCAAAAAAAAAAAAATAGACTGTTCAGAAAAACAAAAACAAAAATATTCACTTGGGTATTTTTCTTCATTGATACTTACCATGGTACCAAAAATACATTTATACTCAAAATTTCCAATTTGGAGTATAAGAGAATATTTATAGAGAGATCCCTACAAACAACCATTCTTTTGTATGTGATTTCTAAGTAGATTCAACTTTTCACGTTATTGAGGCCTTGGTATCATTAGAAGCAACATGGTTCATTTCTTTTCAGGTGAAATTGTCAAATGTAATTTTTTTTAAAAAAACTCTCCTTTGACATAAGATGTATACTCCTAATTGTATTTTCATTCAATTGTTGTCTGGTGTCTTCTTTCATATTCTACATCACCAACTTTTTGAAGAGGAGTTCAGAATTAAACTAAATGTGAAGGATATTGCAGTACTTAACTATTTTGAGGAGAGAATTGTGTATTTAGACAAGTGTTCCTAATTTGGGCTTCACTAACACCTAGGGGCTTTTAGGGAATGAATTCAGGGGTTCATGAACTCCCTGAAATTGCATGCAAGGTATCATGTGTTTGTGCATATTTGAAATTTTAGAGAAAGAAGACCTGTGGCACTCTCACATTAACAACAGGTTAAGAACCACTGCAAGAACTTCTTCCTGGAGGTCCTCCAGTTTGTTCTGCATGTTACTCATCACTTAGTGCATGTCTGCTGCGTCACTTTGATTGAAATGAACAGTAACAGTGCCTAGCTGGTGTTAGCAAAATAATAATTTATTGTAAACATGTGAAACAGTTCAGACACTTAAGGAGAATAATGAGTAACTAATTTTGAAGGAACTGGAACTGGAGTAGAATCAAGGTTCCAAGTGGAGGAAGCTAATTGATAGTTTTATCAGGCAGTAACTTCTGCAAATATTTAGCAGCCAAACTTTCTCCCCCTTTTGCTGAGCCTTCTAAAGTTTCAAAATCTGGATAAATAGATCAGTTGTCCTATCCCTTAATTAGAGAAGAGCAAGACATTCTGATCAAAGTCTAACTATGACTTCACAGAGTGAGGAAATTCCCCAGGAAGATATTGAGACGGTGATCTTAAAAAGAAAGGGGGAAAGGGTATTCAAACTAATACCTACTACATAATATTCGTAGAATCTAGACAAAACCCATAACTAAATGTAATCCCTTCAAACCCAATTTAGTCAAAATGCCTCATCATTGTAAAGCAAGGTGATGCACCTTTCTTTTAGACCTAGATACTATTTTTTTTGCCAATTCATAATGTTTATTTTATTCTAGCTGTCATTAAAAATTCTGAATTACCTATGTTGCCTGAAGCATTCCAATAATATCCCACCGTGTCTGCCTACATCAACTTTTCCTTGAATTTATTTTTCCCTAAGCAGCCACGGTAATCTTAATATTTAAATCATATCATGTCAACTTTCTGTAACAGTCCTTTAAAGGCTATGCTTTATTTGAAGAATAAAATTTAAAAATGCTTACACAGTCTACATTTTTCTACCTGACCTGGCCCTTGTTCCCTCTCCATCTTCATCTTAAGCCATTCTCCTTCTCCACTCCAGTGTACTAATACTAATGCTTTTTCTGTGAAACAACATATACTTTCCTTTAGTAGAACTTCACTTGTATTTTCTATACTGATTCTTCCTCCAGAATTGCTTTGCCAACTCCTTCCCTTACCTACAGCCTCCTAACCTTACCCCCACAGATTCTGTGTAAATGTCCTTTCCAAGGAATCCTTTCCCTAAACCCTAGTATCAAGTTCCTTCTTTGTATTCTGGGCTTTTATTTGAATTTGTTATTATAGCTTGATAATTTTACATTTGTTATCTCTCCACAAGAATAAGGACCCAGTTTTCTTTATTCACTATAATATTCCCAGCACAAAACCTAAAATACAAGTGGGAAATTTTAAAAATAATAATAAAATGAATTCCATTGCTGGAGCTCCCTCTAGATACAGATCCTATTGTTTTTTTCCTCATTTTATCCAGAGCATGACACAGGGCCTGAGGCACAATGCTTGCATAAGAGTTACTTGCTAAAAAATAACAACACTTTACATTTTAAAAGTACCTGGTATATGCCAGGAAACATTAGGCACAGGATATATGTTTTCATAATTTCCATAATTATGCATGTCTTTCATTATCACCATCATTTTCCAGATTGAAAAAATACTAACTGGTATAATTTCAATTTTTTCTGTGGTCTATCAGATTACAAAGCTGCAACATTCCATTTTTGCTGAGTCAAACAAGTGTTATGATTTAAGTGCTGAGTTTCCTCCAGCTAATTAACACCCACTACAATAATATCTAGAATTTTTAATATGCAAATTTTATCTTTCATAGGCTATAGAAAAGTGTATATAATGGGTTCTGAGTTCAGATTCTGGAAGGCAAAAACCATGCGTACTTAACTTGCTTTGTATTTGTGTATTTCACATGTTGTCCTCTTGCCATGGTAAATGAAAGTTTAATAAATAATATTGATGAAATAGTTTTTATGTTTATCTGAAAGGTGGCATGCTAGAAAAAAATAACCTTGTTAACAGAGGATATAACTTTTATAATAATCTGGATCTATTGTCTTGTATAATCTAAACCTATTGTCTTTTTTTTTTAACCTTCTAGGTGCTATGTAAATTCTGCTTAAGAAATGTTATCAAAACTATTAGTAAGTAGCTAGTGGTCTTGAGATGTTGTCAGGGAGAATACCTGGCTAGGTTTTAAAGGCTGGTTCCAGGTTCCTTTCATTGCTGATTAAATTTTCATGGCCAAGCTGATTTACCACAAGAATTTGATAAAATTTTAGATCCTTCTTCAACTAATAAGGGAGGAGGTTAGCAATCAAAACCTCCCTAATTTTTCTTCAAAACCCTGAAAGTTTTCAAAATTGGAGGCCAAATGGCTTTTTAAAAATGAAGGACTGCTGTAAAGCTCAGAAGGTAAGGATTGGTTGAAGTTTGCACAAAGAAGGGTTAGACATCCAAGTCTCATCTAGGATGAGATCGAGGATTAGCCAGACCAAAGTGCTTTCACAGTAGTTTGGTTTTCATTTTGGGGTGTCTAAGAGAGAGAAGCATCATCAAGCTTATTACTTAATGTGCTGCCAATACCTGCAAATATTATCCAGTGGTTACTTTGTAAATTATTTGTGTTCAAATATTTTATTATTTTTTCCAATTTTTAAAATACTAAAATTGCCACCTGACCATGTTGACCATAGTAATCTAAATTGTTTTAAACTTTAGAGAAAGTGTTCAATCTGACATTTTCTTAAATGATGTATTCCTCTGTAGCTTAAGTCCTGTAGATGATATAATTGGCATTTCTAAATATAATATTTCTGATTATGATAGTATAGATCAATTTTTAAATTGAATTTTCAATAGTCCAGCTCTTGACTAAGATAAGCATATTAATTAATAAACTCTGATATTTTGTTTTAGAAAAATAATTTCTTCACATTATTTGTTCTTCATCTATGTCCACAATATTTCACTCTTACATTCCCGTATTCATTGTTGCATTCATAATCATTTTAATTCTATAGGTTAACTGTGGAATAAATGCTTATTTTCCCTTACACTACTCAATGCAATATAAATAATACATAATAGATTATGTAATGGCTTTGGCAAAATTTCTTCCTGGCTTTGGGTATTATAGTAACGGAAATCTTAAATCTTTAAAATTTGTATGCTTAATATTTATTTTGGATTGAGTTACTTAAGAATGCATTAAGTGGTATGCAATACAAATTGTAAATTCAATATTTGACAATATAGCAACTGTTGCAGGAGCCAAAACTCCTCTTTCAAAATTGAACTGGTGAAGTTATCAAGTACAGTTGTATATTCAAATAAATAAGAACAGAGAATCCAAATATTTTCCTAAATACTTACTATATCTAAGGTATAAAATTACTTAGAGAATCAGCAATGAAAGATGTTTATTAAACACTGTAGAATTATTTGAAAATGTTACTGTTTAGTTCATAACTGAACTTATACTTAGTTCTAAAGTGACCTCACTTCTTACATCTTAACAAATATAAAGAAATTAACCAAGAGTATATTCCCAAACTTTTCTTTTTACTTACTTTAATTCATGTTAAGCCTTAGCTGTTATTTAAAATTCTTCTCTTTCATAATTATTCAACTTTTCTCTGTCATATTTATGCAACTTTTAATTCATAGACATGAAAATCATACTTAAATGGAAAAAGTTATTCAGCTTTTCACCGGGATTTGGTGAAATGGGAATTAATTTTATAATTAGTGAAGCATGGTTATATGAACTCATTTTCATGACTTCACACAACAATTTATTACATGTGTTCTGTACTCTAGGCTCTGTGGTACACAAGGAAGAACAGTTCTATGAGTTAGGACATGTTCAAATTTGGCGATGCTAGTTTACAAAATATCCAAGTGGAATATGTTAGATTTTTGGTTGTGTTGGGGTTGAGACAGCCATTTGAAAATGAGTGAAAATTAATGTCATACAATTTGTGAGATTGCTCAATCCATGAATATAGTTGAAGAGGAAGAAGGCCTGAAAATGACAGTGATGTGAGCATTTCCAAACAGATAAAGAAACATGGGTTACCAAAAGAAAACTAGTAGTGTGTGCTTTAATAGAATTCAAGTAGGAGAGGTGAGAGAAGATCAAAAACATCAAATGATGTTATGGGTTCTAGTTAGATAAGAATATATTTAAAAGTCCGATGGGTGTGCAATGGCAATCTTGTTAAAGATATTTAACTAGAATAATGGGGGCAGGGAACACTTTTGTTTTGAGAGTAAATGGCAGACAAGGAAATGAAGAGGTAAGTTTGAAGTGTTGTGATAAAAAAGGAGAGAGACAGCAATGGCTAAAGGAGAATGTAAAATGAAAAGGTTTGCTTGTTTTTAGTTTTTTTTTTTTTTTGCTTTTTTATTTTTTAATGTGAGTTTTATCTGGTTATGTGATTAGTTGATTTGTTGGCTTTGTTTTCGGCTGGAAGTATTTGAACTTAGTTGAGAAGACTGATAAAATGTGAAAAAGGTAGTGACCAATGAAGCATAAATATGTGGCAGAGTAGTGTTGGGGCCCTGGTGAGATTTCCTACTTCACTGCTACTTCTGGGAATTAGTGTAGGAAATATAAATTAAGCTTGTTCCCCTTCAATGTTTAAAGATCAGAGGAAGCTCTGCTATTTAGTGTTGGTTTCTTACAGTTTTATGTTAACAAATACCTATGAAAGTTTGAGTATTAGTTTTGACTCTGTCACTTTTTCACCTTGGCTGAGTCACATAGATTTTTTGAGTCTCAGCAGTGTCATCTTCTATAAACTTTCTTTATGTTGAAAAAAAAATATATATATATATATATATATATACACACACACACAGAAATGTGTGAAATTTCACACAATTATAATCTAAGCTCAAAACAAAAATATAGTTAAATAAATAATGAAACCATTTACTAATAATATGTAAAATATATCTAGAGAAAAAATTCTTTACTATTCTCAACACGTTGCTAATCATTTTATTTATTTATAAAATCTAGGATTGAAATTTCAGTTTCTTAAGAATGTCTGCTTCTTCTGAAACTAACAATGCTATGTGGAGTTATTTAGCTTAAAAATGGCTACAATAAATCCATTTTCAGGGAAAAATTTTTCTTGATATGTTTTAGAAGGAAAAAATTCCATGAGCACAGTCTCAACATTTGCATTTTTATCAAACTATAGAGCAATTGAACTTTCTTCTAATCAATTTCCAAATATGTACTTTCTTTTTCTTCCATGTGGAGCTTTATTACCAAACATATCTAGCTGTTTGGCACTGAGATCTGGCAAGGTGAAAAGAATTTACAAATGTGCTTCTCATTCTTTTTAATGGAAGATATAGCTGCTCTTCTAGATAACAAAGGTCTCTCCAATATTTATTCATGATCTAGTATAGATATAGTTGTAAAAAAATATTTCAAACTCCATTAAATCATGGTGAAATATCCCACTTTATGTATTAATGCTAAATATTTATTGACAATATAATCATTTCATTTTTATGTCTCAATTTTGACAGAAAATATATTAAATATAAAATATTTAAATTTCAAGTACTTCATAATAATTATATAGAAAAGAAATATGTGACCCTTGAAAATATTAGAAATAGGAGCAGTTAGACAAAATATAAGACAAATAAATATTGTTTATATATCATGTATATACATATATACATATAATTTATGTTTTTATTATAATTAGTACATTTAACTTTTATAAATAATAATAAACAGACATTTTAAAATGTTAATGGTAGTTTTTAAGTTTATTTACAATTAAATTAATGGTTTTAGACCTATAGACTAAGGCATACAAAGTATGTTTTTTCACTAATGGGATGGAGATAATCTATACCTTTTCTAGTTTTGAGTGCTGAGTACATGGTTTATTTATCAAAATATGGCAAAATCATCAATGTCAATTGTGTTGTTACATAGTGATGCAGCTGTAATTATTATCATTTGTAATAAATGAAGCAATAAATGACATAACCATTTGTTGAGCGCTTCTTCTGTATTTATTTATTAATCATCTTAACATTTTTATGAATCCAATACTACTTTTATCTCATTAACATTTAAAGAAGCTGATATTTTGAGAATCCATGATCACATCACGAACATGTGGCAGAGCCATGCATTAGGTCCAGAGTCTATAGATATAGACATTATACAATCCTATTACTCAATATCTATAAGATAAAAACAATGGAGAGCCTCAGAAGTATGCCTTTGTAAGGTCGATGTTAGGGTGAATACCCTTCTTCCTTTCATCTTATTCTTATTTCTCTTAAAATAAAAATGTGCTTTCCTCCAGAGATCTTCACCCTTTTTTTCTTTTTTTTTACCATCTCTCACCCCTCTTGCAATGACATTCTTTCCTTAAGTATTACCAGCTTTTCTTTTAAGCACACTTCTCTTTTCCATTCCTCGTACATTAACTCCAATTCAGATCTCGCTCTTGAATTTCAAACTCATATAGCTAAATTTGTACTGAAAATCTCCGGTTGACAATCAAGTGCAGTGGTCCCACATTCAACTCCCCATGTTGAAAACACATTTTCAGATCTGACCATGCCTCCACACCACATCTCGGTAATACGAAGTTATTATTCCTCTGCACTCATCAGAGCCAGTTACCAATTCTGACAACTTAATTTCTTGACTATTTTCTGAATCCATTTTCTCCATTCTATTACATTTTTACTTGTACTTTTTCCCAGGCTCTATGTCTTTTACAACAAATTATAACTACAGCTAGCTTACATATCATTCTGCTTCCAATCTTTACTCACCCCCATCCAGCCAATCATTCATATTAGAATAGTTTTTTTGTTATTGTTCGTGTTTGTGTGTGTGTGTGTGTGTGTGTGTGTGTGTGTGTGTTGTTTTTTTTTTTTTTTTTTTTTGAGACGGAGTCTCGCTCTGTCATCCAGGCTGGAGTGCAGTGGCACAATCTCGGCTCACTGCAAGCTCCGCCTCCCGGGTTCTCCCCATTCTCCTGCCTCAGCCTCCCGAGTAGCTGGGACTACAGGCGCCCGCCATCACGCCCTGCTAATTTTTTTGTATTTTTAGTAGAGACGGGGTTTCACCGTGTTAGCCAGGATGGTCTCGATCTCCTGACCTGCCCTTCTTGGCCTCCCAAAGTGCTGGGATTACAGGCGTGAGCCACCGCGCCCGGCCTAGAATAGTTTTTAAAACCTGAATATCTGATCATGTTTCTTCACCACTTAATTTATTTCAAGAGCTTCTGATCACTTTCTGGATTCCACCTGTATCATCAGGTTTCTGTCAGAAAAGCAGAACCAACAGAATAATGTATTTATTATAGGATTTGCTGTTATGAAATTGTATGAACTGCTTAAGAGGTGCATATATGTCTGTTGCATCTGCATCTGGTTCTGGATCTGAAGTTAGCAGAGCAGCCAGCCAGGAAAGAAAGATGGATATAAATTTGGGAAGAGAAAAGACAAACTGAAACCCATGAGGATGAGCTGAGACCTCCATGGATGGATTAATCAGAACCTGTCTGGATGAGCTGACACCTGCATTGGTCCCTCATTGGCTCCAAGCCTCCAATAATTCTGCAGTTGACCTGAAGGAGAAGCTGGCAACCAAATGCACACTTGAAAAACTGAAGGTGGACTATATCGGGAACTGCAGAACCAGTGAACCAAATAGCTGCTTCAAGCCAAAAAAGTAGGCCAGCAGATCCATAGCAGCCCGTGTGAGCTGGAAGCACCTGATCTTAACTACACTATCCTTTCAAGCATAAACATGGTTTCTGCTTCACTTTTGAGCCTTTCCAAACTCACATAACTTTCTCTTGGGAGCAAATAATTGCCAAAGCCATTCAGGGAAATAAATTGTAGAAAATGTAATTCCAGCTTCGCTAAGTTGATACAGCATAAAGCCATCACACAACCCAAACTTCACAGCAGAATTTCATCTACTTTAAACACTGGTCATAATTAACTGTTAATATTTTCCCAAAGAATCCAAGCTTCCTTGCATCTGTCCTTAAACCATGTTATTTTCTTTACCTTAACAATTTATTTCCCACTTTTCTACTTCCCTAACTATTTACCTTTCAAGAATCAGACCCAATATCACTACCGTGAAAGGTCTCCTCGGATTGAGTATGTATTTCTCTTCTGTAGTGTCATTGTACCGTCAACATATGGCTATCATGGAACTTCTGGCAATGTTATTAATTGTATATCTTCTTCAGTAGAATAAGCAATAGGGGAGAGCAAGGACTGTGTGTTTAGTCTTGTACTTTAAAATCTATTGTAATGTATGATACAGAGTAGGTGTCATCCTTAGGTAAATGCTCAGAATTTCTCCAATAGCTATGAAGACAAACTCAGCATGTTCTTTTAACAGACTTTAATTAAAATGATAAGCTGAATCAGTTTTTTAACTGTTCAAGTTAGCTTATAATTTAAGAACTATTGCAATATGCCACATTCTATAAGGCCCAGTTCTACATATCTCTTATTTTAATTAAACTTATCTTTTTATTTAATCCTTAGGACAGATGAGTAAATTAAACATGTAACTTCTTATTAATAAATTTTTTGTGGGCACTACAAAAGATGATAAAGTAGCATGCTGGTTATTTGTATTAAAATCTAGTAGTAGTATACTATCTTCAGGAAAAAAATATCCACAAAATAGGCTTTTTTTCAGTAGAATTTAGTATCCCAATTTACGATGTTTCTGCTGTGATTGAAATGTGTCATTATTTTAAGGTAAAATGTTATCCAGCATAGCTATGGATCTGAAATTTAAAACACCTAGATTTTTTTCTGTATCTAGTAGCCATCATTATATTAACCAGTTGTATCATTTTAAAGGACTTAAAAAGCTGTCTGCCTCTACTTTCCTGCAATATTGTTCTTTAACCAGTAAAAATTGGGTCAGTTTTGCAGAATGGTTATCAAATGACCAAATATACAAAGCCAAATTCAGTGATATTTTGGTGTGGGCTGTGTATTGACCAATTTACTGGACCCAAAAATTGTGGTTTATTGGGCCACAGGTGTTTTTGCTGATGCCTCCTGGGTGCCGAGAGGCAAGTCACATACCACTGAACATAGCTGTGATTCACAAACAACAACAAATGTTGCCAAAGCACAAATCTGGGGCCCAGAGCCATAGATGACTGAGTCAGGAATTTGGAAATATGCAGAAACTGAATTAGAGTTGGAATGAATTGGGAAATGGTACAAGTACTTGGAGGCAGGGTAATTTCTAAATAAATTGTTGTAAGTGCCAATGCTTTTGACTGCCTTAATGGATCAGGTATATGGGTGTACCAGACTAGTTCAAAGGTTGGGTAGATAAAAATGCTTTCATCTAGTCAGTCTATTATCTATTTGCTTCTATCATATTGAAATAACAGGAAGTTTTTGCCTTTTAATGATGAGAAATTGCATCACTTCCATCCTTTTATCTGGCAGATTTTTGTAAACAATTACTGAATGGATTTTTAAAGTTGGCTGAAATAGCATTTCTTCCTAGTTTAAATGACAAAGGAGAAATTTAGTATTTTCCTTACATTAAAAAAATCAGTAGCAACTAGTATTAACATTATTTTCTAACTTGTCCTAATATCTGTTAAGTTTTCATTTTATATATAATGCCAAGAATGCTTAACTTTTTAATCTATTCCTATTGTTTCTTAATAAAACTATCAATGTTAAAGCTGACTTACTACAAATTTTCCTTAAAAGAATATAATGATTCAATAAGTAAGGCTACAAAGATTAATTTTTAAAAGCTGTATTTTTTCTATGAAATTCATAATGATTGGAAATCATTGGTGATTTTATTGAAAATCTAAAGTTCACCCCGAAAAGTCTGGGTTAAATTTGTTATGGGTTGATTAAATGCAAAGAAAAAACAAGGAAAAAAGCAATATTCTAGTAGTCTTTTATGTTGAAAAACTTAATAGTGTGCTATTTAGTAACCAATGGACTATGATATAACCTGTTTGGAATTAAAATGAAATAAATTGTTAAGATTGAAGAAGAAAGTGTGAAATAGAGGAGAAGCAGCAGTGAGAAAACATAGCTGAATTAGATGTTGGAAAACCTGGTGCAAGTCCCAATGCTACCACTTATGTTAATGATCTCCTATTTAGTTACAAAATTAAGGTTTGGAGCGGGGAGCGGTGGCTCGTGCCTGTACTCCCAGCACTTTGGGAAGCT
Source organism: Homo sapiens (assembly GCF_000001405.40). NCBI lineage: Eukaryota > Metazoa > Chordata > Mammalia > Primates > Hominidae > Homo > Homo sapiens. The sequence continues at coordinate 84,676,502 of NC_000007.14, read as the reverse complement.
GAGGCGGGTGGATCACCTGAGGTCAGGAATTCGAGACCAGACTGGCCAACTTGGTGAAACCCTATCTCTGCTAAACTTACAAAAATTATCTGGGCATGGTGGCAGGCACCTGTAATCCCAGCTACTACGGAGGCTGAGGCAGGAGAATCACTTGAACCGGGGAGATGGAGGTTGCAGTGAGCCAACATCAGGCCATTGCACTCCAGCCAGCCTGGGTGAAAGGAGCAAAACTCTATTAAAAAAAAAAACAAAACAGAATTAAGGTTTGAGTCAAACGATTCCTAAGGATCTTTCAACAGCCTTAGTAGTATTCAGAGCTGAAATTATTTAAATTGACAACGGTTTAATAATTCTTGTTTGATAGGTAAAGAATATACAAAAATGCAAGGTATTTTATGTAAAAATTTGTTTGAGAGACACCATAAATTGGCAGTTTGTAAAAATGTTTTATTTGACTGTAAGAAACTGCACCACGGAGAACTTGGTTTTGTGACAGGCCATCACACACCACTGTTCCCTTGCCTCATGTTGGGTAATTGGTCCAGAAATGACTCAGAGGAAAGATCACCACCTACTGTATCACCCATATCACTTCCTGTAACACCTGGGTTTTTCTTGGAATGTTTCCATCCAAATGTATATCATATCTGACCTGATCTGTTTGCAAGGGCTGATAAGATTATAGCCTGGGGTACGGTGGCAGTGGGCCATGAGTATATGAAAGCAAGTGGTTATTTTTTCTGATAGTTACGTAAAGGGTGATTTAATTACTGGCCTAGTCACTAACGTATGACCAAATGGGATTTCTTGAAACATATAATTTCCTTAATGGTTTCCTGATTATAAATGAACTCACCAATTTCCCATTAGGATTGATTTTCGTCACAAGCCTTAACACTCAAGATTCTCATAACATTTTTAAAAGTGCAATGAATGACTGGAAAAATTACAAATTGTCCAAATTCTGTGTACAGGAAGTAGAAATAAATGGGGAAAAAAATGATGTCCAGGACATAGGAAGTACATGAAACAGAATTCAGCAAGATGTGCAATTCCTGTAATGTTGCTGATGTTTTAAGAGAAAGAAGCACTGATCTTGAAGAGAAATCTGTAATTCTCAGGGAGATACTTTTAACATTGCTCGTATGCTTTAACTATTTAACTGCTTAACAGTATTTTTATTAGGCTTGACAAGATCAAGATACATAATGTGTAGTTTATGAACAGAAATTCACCCATATTTAGCATACAACCTTCTTTAAAATGATACATTTTTAATTGATTTGATGCTTCAAGTAAGTTTAAAGTCTTTAATAATTGTGTAAAACACAAGTTGTATATTACTTTCAAATATTCAGCATTCTCTTTATATGAAAGAGTAAATTAAAAATGAAGAGAAAAAAATTTCCTTATTTCCCAGATTATTTTGTTGAATGGAGATGCAGAGTATCTTTTTATTCCCTTTTTGGTTACATGAAAGAACACAAACAGGGAAGAACGGTATCAATGTTCTTCAACAAAAGACACTAAAAACACTGTATGATTAAACACATTAGGCCTCCCACACCTTGCCATGGGAAGAACAAACACCATGGAATGATGCTCACCTACATTACAGCAAGTAATCTGCTTTACTCAAAGCCTACTAATTTAAATTTTAATCATATCTTTAAAAAAACACCTTCACAACAATATCTAAACTGGTGTTTGGCTGAGTAACTGGGCATCTAGCCAAGTTGAAGCATAAAATTAACCATCACAATGGGTAATCATGAGGTGTCTCAGTAAGGTGTTAGAAAGAATCTTTTATAGCATTTTGAGGGCTTGGTTGAGTGATTTGGGGAAGGGTTTAAGGAAGCAGCAGTGGTGGAGTGGTGGAGGAGAGTTGCTCTATGTTGGATGCTGTGAGAAAGTGGAGCAATTTCATAACTGGTATTTTAACACATTTTATTTATAGGTAGAGAAGATTAGAATAAGTACAAAGCTGATTATTAAAGAATAGTGAGCAATCATCCTTGTAGCCAAAAAGGGGAGGTGATTGGTATTTTGTGGTTGGCACAATGACTGTTCTGTTTTTGTCAGGACGTAGACAAAATTATGAACTGGACTTGTTTTGTTTCACTTTATAATGGACTCAGAATGACACTTATTTGAAGATGGTATTCAGTGAGATTATTTTTGTGAATTGCACAGCCTGGCTGTAAGTATCAGTCCAGATCCTGGACGCCAGGGGCTACTGTATTTTTTTTGTTTTTTATACTTCTAAATAGTAATTTGCCTTTCTCTGCTCTTTACTTCAGATTGCATGGGGAAGGGATATGTTTTGTTTTTTGATCTGTTTGCTGATTTTGGCTGTACTTTCAAAACTGACATTTAAATTAGGAACATTTCATATGCTATATAACCTGGTATCTCTGGAAATGAGTTGAATGAGAAAAGGGTGTTAGGAGAGGAAGAATTGGTTAAAAGTCTGCTTAAAAAAACACATAACCCCTGAATCTTTTATACTACTATAAGTAACCAGGTGATAGTTGAATCTTGACAGAACAATGGAGGCTTTTTCTCTGGAGAGAATAAAGAAGAGGATCTCTAAACTGGGGTATACCAGATACTCCAGGTATTAAGGTATTACGCACATGTATGTATATTTATTTAAAATGCTGACATGCCCACAGCCCCCTGCTTCATTTCTTCCTTGATTCTCAGAATCTTGGCTCCAGGCAGAAGACAGAGAAGTCTTTGCAGAATTTGACCAAATCAAAAGGCAAAACATAAATATTTTGTTATAGTTGGTTTTTCAGTGAAAACGTTCCACTCTTCAATGAAACTCACAGTTGACCACCCACACTCATGTGCTCAGAGTTTCTGAACAGCATCTTGATCCCCTACTCTTATATATAAGCAGAAAACCAATGATTAACAAACGTGATGAAATCACCCAGTATGGAATTTAATGAGCAAAACAAGCAACAACAAAAACACTTGAAGAAAACAAAGTATGCAGGGAAAAGTAAATTTCATATGTATATATATAATGAATATTCTTAAGGAGATATTGCTTCACTATTCCCTGGGTAGCTAGGATGTGCAGCCAGGTTACAAGGCAGATAAGTGTGTGCCATCCAGGGAAGAGACCAGTGAATGATTCAAGTTCACTGTGAACAGACAACACACACACTAGGCTCAAGTGGTACAGCATCTACTTCACAGCAAAAGTAGAGAAACAGTGCACAAGCTCAGGCCTGTGCCAATGGGTTAGTCTCCCATGGCTGGTGGATCCATTCTGCAGTGAAGATGGATGATGTAGCTACACAGAACCCACTTTGTGCCACAGTAGAAGCATCTCAACCTCTCACCCACGGAGTAGGAAATACAGAAAGCTAGTGGTGTACCTGACAGTCACTGACACATGTTCTTAAACAAATCAAAGGAGTGCACACTGAGTTTGAAACAGATAAAGATATTCCCACACAAGGCAATAAGCCCAGCCCAAGCTGTGAGCACTGTTTATCTCTTGCCAGAAAAAATCCATCCTTATGTGGCCAAGTGGGGGTTGAAAGACTGCATGAATTAGACTGCCTTTCCCAAAAGAAATAAAAAACTATGAATAAAACACAGAGTAATATTGAAAAGGAACATACAGATAAGAAAATAGAATAAGTGGATTATTTTTAAAGGTTCTACATCCAACTAATGAGAGTTCCATAGCAAAGGAATCGATAAAAATAGAGAAAGAAAAATCATCAAATAAATCTTTCAAGAATTTTCAATAACTGAAGGACATGTTTCCAGATTAAAAGTCCACATCAAATACCAGCACAGTGAATGAAAATATGCTTTCACCAGTGTACATCATTGTAAAATTCTGAAACAGATGAGAACAAATAGATAATTCTATATACCTCCATAAAGGGAAAAAATAACATACATGAAGAGAATCAAGAGTCAACATAGCTTCTGACTTCTCTGCAGCAAAACTAGAAGCTATTAGACAATGGAGCAATATATTTAATATTATAAAGGAATTTATATACATATATGCACATACATAATAATATTTAGACATATTAATTAGGCATATAGTATTATACATTTCTAAGATACAAATATTTAGGTATATGTTTAATAAAATAGCCAACATAGAACTCTTTAAAAAGTATGTAAACAATTTAAAAATTTCCAAAGCTTTAACATATATTTATTTTTCTTTGATGCCATACTCAATTATGATGACAAAGTATAAAACACATGAGAGAGTATAGAAAATTTAGTGGAGGGCAGGGATGGTGGCTCATGCCTGTAATGCCAGCACTTTGGGAGGCCAAGGTGGGAAGATTGCTTGAGGCGAGGAGTTTGAGACAAGCCTGAGCAACATAGTGAGATCCTGTCTCTATTAAACAAAAAATTAATCATCTAGATGTGGTGGCATATGCCTGCAGTCCTAGCTACTTGGGAGGCTGAGGTGGGAGGATCACTGGAGTCCAGGAGTTCAAGGCTGCCATAAGGTATGATCATGCTATTGTATACTAGGCTGGGCAACAGAGCAAGACACTGTCTCTAAAAATAATAATAATAATTAAAATAAGGAAGTATATTGGAAGCTGATTTTAATGAATAATTATTGTATAGTCTATCCATATTATGTATATATATAGTCAATGAAAAATATTATAATCTAAAAACCCTGTAGTTACCTCAAAGTTTCAATAATGTGTGAAATTAGCGTTGCCAAAATTAGAGATAATTTGTTCAATTTCCTTAAAATAGGTTTTTTGAAAGCTACTCTTTCCCAAACTGTTTTACACTATTCTGGAGTTGATCAAAATATTTCTCACAGATGATATACACATGTGCATTTGAGCCTGCTTGAAGATATACTGTGGTAATTTACATGTAATAAATTCATTCACAGGATGCCAGATTAATTATCACTCAACAATGGTAGTTATTACTAAATTTATAAGCTGCTTCAAAGCAATGGAAAAATGGATGACTTTAGGGTAAGGAAAGGGTAAGGAATAAACATTAACTGGACTATTCCTTGAATGAACAATTCCTTTTTCCCCAGAGAATTCCTAAAGTTAAATTTGTCCTCACTAACTCAACAGGAGGATTGTGTACATTCTAGGTTATGACCAAATTCAGGATATTACGGTTGTATTTTTAAAAATAACCTCTGTTGGGTTAGTTGTTCTTTTTGGCACTTGAAAGGTTTATTTAATTTTGTTTTCATTACATTTCTCTCTCTGGTTCATATTTTCCAAAAATTATCTCTGCTTTTAAGAGTTACAGTTAATAAACCAAATGCCCAGACCAAGCAGTAAAACAAATAAAAAAAAAAACTTCAAATAACAAGAAAAAAATATATTTCCTGCTCTATGTTGTTATTTTTCTGTTCGAACAGATAAAGTAAAGCACAACATTGGAAATTCCATATGTTTATATTTTTTGTAAGCAAGTCTCTTTCAAGGTGATTTTGAACTTTGAGCAAGAGGGCTTATTTGCAGACAATGGAGGACAGTTTTTCTTATCCCTTATTCCCTTATCAGAAAGGGAAAACAATCTTTTGCCCAGGTAGAATGCAGAATGTTCTAAATAATCCCTATATGAATCATGATGTTAATGAAAACTTTTTTATGCCTGATGGTTTTTAATCATATTTTAATGCATTTGAAATATTTGAAAATAAATTCAAAATTATTTTATTTAAAATTGTAACAGAAATGTCCTCAAAATTCGTAGTAGTAGGAGGCATTAACAACAGAATCTTATTTAGGCAGTAACGGTTTGGGGGGTGTATACAAAAAAGGAGTGTGAGGGACAATGTGAGGGGTCTCTCTTTTCCTTATTAGCAATATAAGTTTTAACACGACAGATGGACTATTAAGGCTGGGTTTAGGCAAAAATTGAAGGAGGTCAGGTGTATTTTCTCTATTCCTCTTACTTTCTCCTTGTGTAGTTTTTCTTTCATTTTCCTCACAGCCTGTAATGCCACAGTTGCTTTTGGACTTCTCAGGGACCAAGCTTAATAATACTGCACAGCCCCAGTATAGAGTAATTTTCACCCTACAGTGGGAACCCTCTGTAGCCTACTCACACTTAACCTGTGACACCCACAGGACCTTTTACATCTTCTTTTCTTCTGCAAACATGTACATGCGTAATCAAGTTTTACCATGGCTTTCTGCATTGTCCTTTCAGAGACATTTGGTTCCAAAAATTGGCAGCGCTAACTCAATACACCATGTTGTACTCCAGACTATGGTAATGCCATCTCATAGACTTTCAGCTTTCTGATGTCAGAGATTATACCATATTCATTCTTGTATTCCCTTCATTATCTCCAACGTTGTTTTGGAAGTAGTAGGTACTCAGATATATGTGAAATTGATGTGAATTTAACATAATGAAAACATATTTCCACAGACCTTTTAGGAAACACTGACAATCTTTTGACACCTGTCATTTAGATTCATTTTGGTAATTTTCACCTTTTTTTTTTTGGCTGTTTTAATGGTCAGTTTTAGACTGTCAGAATAGCTAAGTGTGTCGTCTGATGTGCTTTGGTCATTCATTCATACACACTTCCAAATTGCCATCAGCCTTTTTCCAATATTCAGCTCCACTGTGCCCTTCAGCCTTGTTTTTCTCCTTGACCTGATCCAGCTTTCTTCTTACTTTCTATGAGGCACATGAACTGCCTTGTGCATTTATGCTTTGTGATGTTCCATTTATTTCCTTGTGGGAAATTCTGTGTTCATTTGGCATCAGCAAAAAATTAAAAAAAAGAAATAAATGAATACAATGAGGCAAGCCACATGATAGATAGCTCTACAGTTAATGACATGTCTTATGTGAAGCGTTAGACATTATATTATGTTGTTTATAAGGGCATAGTCTCATGTGAAATTGCCACTGTGTTTGAAGGGCAGTTAATAAATATGGATATGCTGTTGCCTTCTGCCATGAAACTAACATCCCTTTAGGTTATCTGTTAACAAATTCACTTTTGGAGGACACTGAAAGAAGCACTCTGAAGAGAAACTTTGCTTAACTGGGGTTTGTCCATGTTTTCCTTGGGAAAGAGAGTTCCAGGAAGTTTGATAAGATTGCCATTTCCTATTAAACTGTCATGACGAACTTAGCATGATACCATCCCGGATGCAGGTGTCCAGGTCAAAGGAAATAAAAGGGAAGTTCAAAAGCACTCCTCCCATAGTTGCTGATCTTATATCTCTATTACTATGTCATGGGAAGTTTTTATGTGAGCATATGCTGGAAATTAGGCAAAACACAAATTGCATGTCAAGCAAATAAAATAGGCTAAAGAAAAACAAAAAAAAGACTTCTCAAAAAAGTGTTTATATTTAAGAATACGGTATTTTGCATTTAAAAATGTGTTAAAAGTGTAGATATCATGTGAATTGTTCTTAGCAAATAAAGGAGGGGGCAGGAGGAAACTGTTAAAGGTGACAGATATGTTTACCTCCTTGATTGTGGTGATGGTTTCATGGATATATGCATATATCTAAACTCATTGAATATTTGCAGTTTTTATATATTAATTATACTTCAATAAAGTTATTGTTTTTAAAAAGCATTTAGAAATGCAAATAAATATATCCTTTTCACTTCAAAAGTGTTAATTAGGTTTTGAAATCATTTCAAACCTATTGAAAAGTAGCAGGAATAGTGCAAGAAAAGTTCAACACACTCCTGCAGGTACCCATAAACCTTTTTAAAGTTTCAACTCTTTCATATTCTTTATAATGGTAACCAATCTAGAATCATACGTGTACCCAGTCGTCATATTGTTCTAAATTTCTTCATTTTAGAACCTTCCTCAATCTTTACTTCATCTAATGACCTTCATATTTTTCAAGATTACAAGGCTGTCATTTTGTAGACTATTTTTCCATTTGGGTTTCTGTGATGTTTCCTCATGAGTAGACCCAGGTTATACATTTGGGGCAGGAATATCACAGAAATGATACTGTGCATATGTGTTTTTATTGCATCCTACCAGGTAACACATAATTTTTTTTGCCTAATCCTTGTGTTAACTTTGTTCACATATTTAAGTTGGAGACAGCCACGTTTCTGTATTTTTTCTTCATAATGAATGAGTATTTTTGGCAGAGGCAACTTGAAGCTATGTAAATATGCAATTCCTCATCCCACTGTCACACTCTAGTTTTAGCAGTTATTAATGTAACTTGTGTGAATTAATTATGGCTAGGATGTCACATTGTGATTTAAAAAAAATTATTTCTACATGTATCACTTCTGATTTATTTATCCATTCACTTTTTTTTATCCTGCAGTCTCTAGCTGTGAATCAGGTTCTCTTTCAGATATATTTAACTGGTAAAAATATTTTTACCTAAATTACCAGTGTGGACTCATTGATTCCTCTTGTATTCAATGGGCTATAGACTGTTAGTATCATTATCTAATTAGATGGTTAGATCATCATCTATTTGGCCACTGGGACCTCCCCACACAAAACTGGCTTCTGAATTCTTTATTATACTCCCATTTTTCTTTGAGAGATTCCTTATTGGGACAACAAGATGTTCCTGATGCATATTATACTTTTTCTGGTCCTGCTCTGAAATCAGCTATTTCTCGTCTCCAGTCCTCTTTTCTGGAGAGTGGAATTTAAAAGTTGAGAAGTCAAATGAACCCACTGTGTGTGTTCATTATTAATAGAGTCTTTTAATGTCAAAGCTCTCCAACATTTGTACCTTTATTCTGTGAGGGAGAAACTTGGCTCTTACTATTCTTTACATATTTACATATTTGCTAAATCCCCTATGTGTGGCTGGCTAATCTCCCCAAACTGCCAGGCTGCCTTCAACAAATCTCTTGACAGGCAATCACAGTGGCTACTATTACTGGCCACCTCTGGCCATATTCACTTCTCACTCTGCATAAACCCCTATGCCTGCCATCATTACTATCACTGACTAATGTCTCTTGGAAGAGAAAAGAAGAGAGTTATGTACAGGAGAGGGTAGAGCTGACACAGGAGAAGAAGAAAGGGGAGAGCAAACAGGGAGGAGGGGAAGGAGAATAAAGAATGGAAGGGAAGAAAAAGCGTTCATATTTTACACACTATTTATATTATACCTTAAGATGAATCGAAACATTCCAGATTGTGTGAGATTTTGAGACCAACAATAGAGGTATTTTATAATTATTATGCTTTACATGTTGCCAACTGAAATACTTCCATAACAAAATGGTTAAAACCCAAAATTAGTAATTTGTAATGTAGATTTGTTTATTGAACATCTTTTATTTTTTGTTTTAAAAAATAAAATGGACTTACAAAAGTTATACTTTATATCTCAGGTTGACTTCTTAAGTTTGGCATTTTATACTTAGAAAGACTTTTTCTAGTATGTATATGAAAAAACTAAAAAAAATCTTTGACTCTTACTTGTCCAAAAAACACGATAATATTATCACAACCAGAACATTTCTATGTAAATACAGCTTTCTGTGATTGCATTATCTATCACTGGCAAGGACTTAGAAATAATGACACATTCACTAGTCTTTAACAGACACATGATGAGCACAAGCTCCAGTCTGATCAGTCAGTGAACTAAATATAAAAGAAATGCTTTATAAAGTGTCATTTAGACTCCAGTGTAATAGAGATGTAATGCATATGTCAAGTTATTGAGTTGTCAACTTAAATAGAAGCCAGTATGTCATCCCGCAATTATTGCTATTTAGGCCTCAGGCATTAGTGCTAATATTAGCATGTGAGTGTTAAGTATGTAAAGTACAAAAGGGAAAAGAAGAAATTATATGAAGCAAACCCTAAAGAACCCAGTAGGTTACTAAAGGCCACAATCTATCCCGTAGCTATGTGCTGACATTTTAAAAAGAGGAAAATTTGTGTAAAAATATACAGCCCACTTGGGGAAAAAAAGTACAAAAAAGGCACAAGCATTTACCCGTTATTTAAGGCAGAGCTTAGTATATTATCATTATTCTATATAGGCAAATTGTTAAATCATCAGAAGTTTATTTCAAATTAAATTTGGTGGCTCAGTTTCCAGTTGCAATGATTTATTGACAGATATTTGAGATGGCAAGGGTTTCTTTTAAAACACAAAAGCCTGGAACAGACCTTCATATTTAACCCGTATCTAAAACTCAAACTTTAACTCTATAGAACGCTCCTGCAGTTCTCCACCTGTAAATCAGGTTCGTATTTTATATATATTTAGCGGGTACAGCCACCTTTACCTAGCACCCCTGAGGCGACCCCTTTTATAATATGAATTCTTATCAAAGCTGAGAAATAAAAAGAGGCTTTTGAGATCACACCTGCGGAGGTTTGTCAATCATAAATAGATATAATGCTAATTTTCTGCTAATTTAAATATATATTTATATTACATACATTTATAAACATGTATATTATATACATTATATACATTTATACATACATAAACATATATATTTAGTTGTAAATATTAGGTTGGTGCAAAAGTAATTGCAGTCTTTGCCATTACTTTTAATGGCAAAACCTGCAATTACTTTTGCACCAACTTAATATGCATATACATACGCACACAAAAACATAAATATTAGGTCACTCTGACAGGTAGTACATCTAAATTAAAAGCACAAAGCACAGTTCATTTTAAAGTCATTGTTTCAAAGAGATAGATTAAAACCTGCTGTTTGTAAATCTATTGCACATATAAGCACTCCAAAAAAAGGCAAAGCAAGGAAAAAAACAGACACTCTGGCATCTCTTTCTGGTCCATTGCTGAAGAACATTAAGTAATAAAAGGATCTATGTGAAGATTAAGATAAAATCTAGCAGGACCAGCACTGTCTTCTCTAATTCACTATGCAGACAACAGAGTCAGCGAAAAAAAAAATTGGACTATTTCCAAATCCTTTTAAAAGCATATACCCTCTAAAGCAGAAGGCATCTTTACGTGAACAGGCAACCTTCCCTACACACACCACTGCTGTTCTGGCCTGAATTTTATGCTAATGGAATAAAACCACACAGTACAGAACCACATTCTTTAAAAGCAAGGATTCTATGTATGTCACAGTAAGTAACTCAAGGCACAGAACAAGAGAGCAGGGCCAGTCTTCAGTCAGATGCTGTTTGACATCCTCTTTGGACATGTGCCTTTGTCCATGTTGTAATACATCCTCTCCGCAGACCTAAATCCTCCCCTTCCTCCAAGGTTCAACTCAACTATATTCTCCTCCAAAACTTTTTCCCTTTCTTCACGTACAAACGTGATACGTAGCACCCTTCTTTTGTCTTCTCATAGCATTTTGAGTTTATGCTTCTATGAAAATGACTACCACTTATATTTAAATGTCTATCTCCTTTACTGGACTGTAAATTCCACAAGTGCAAATTTAATAGTTTAAATTTACTGTAATTCCACAAGAACCGATATCTTATATCTGTATTCCCAGTGTCTCTCACATGGACTATGGGTAGACTGAAAAACAGAGATTTAAGGCCCTAGATTTGCTCTTTCTCTTTACTGACAAAAGGACTCTACATTCCAAAACAGGTTTGGCTACTTTTCCTACTTAGAAAAATAGGAGGGTATTAAAATCAATCTTCATTTTTATTGCCTTTTCTCCTCTTCTTCTATACCCCAAACACTAAACCACATGAAAGGTACTAAAGACGTTGTAACTACAAGTTTGATCTTAACTGGGAAGTGTAATTTAGAGATTTTTTTAAGAAGAAAATGGAAAACTTCCCTCAGGCAATTCTCTCCTTTCTGGCTTCCTGGTATTTGAACATATTCTTATCTCAATAGACATAGTTGTTCATTCCATACCATTGAAGAGGTACTCAAGACATAAAAAACTAGAATGCAAATAACCTTAGATAAAGAGCCAGGTATTGGTTACTGTGCTTTTGGTAAATGCATAATTGACTGAGAGTATGTGAGTTCTAGGTTTGATGGAGAAAATGAGGTTAAAGGAGATCATGGGTGTTTAAAGGAAGAAAGAAACAGTTAAGGTGGCTCAGAGACACTTTGCCTAATCATGTCTGATCTCAACTGAGTAAGAGAAAATCAACACCTTATCAGAGATATTTTTTGCCAAAAAGTTTTCAGTACCTGAGTTCCTGAGGGCTAGACTAATTATGTTTAAGATGATTGCATTATTAGGATGCCACAGATTTTTATCTTAATTTTTTTTTTTTTTTTTGCTGATCGTACTTTATCCTAATGCTATGAAATATTTCCTTTACTTGGAAACTGAAAAGTACAAATTAATAGTCATTAATGAATGCTCTTTGTTTTAGGGCTTATCTCAGACTAGATTGGATAACCAATCTTTTCTGTTCTTAATTATCACTTCTTTTGATGTGAAAACATTTGTGCTACTTCACAACTTTAAACATGGTTTACAAAAATCTGAGTCTTACATACATATTCATTAGTAATATTGGACTATCATTGCCTTCTTGGTATAGTATGTCATGTTTTATTATGAAAATCATATTTATGTTATAATAAAATAAAATGAGAAGCTCTCCATCTTTTTATCAAGCCTGGGAAAGATTCAATACATTTGAATTATCTGTATTTTTAAAGATCCTGGATTTGTAAGACCTTTGGTCTTAATGCCTTTTTTTCCCAGTGATAGTGCTTTTACTTATTCCTCATGCCTTCTTTAGTAATTGCTATCTTGAAGTGTTTCACTTTCTATTTGTTCAACTTTGGTAATTTCTACTTTGCTACAAAGTCATATGTTTTTCTTGTGTTTTAGATTCATTGCAATAGCGGCATGCATTAGTCTCTTAACTTTTTAAAGTTTATCTATGTTTAGGTATTTTTTATTTTGTATGTATTTTTTCTCTCTGTTGCTGTTATCGGATCTCAGATATGACTTTCTGTATCTGTCTTACCAGTGTTTGTGAAGAACAAGGTTTTAGAACTTATTTTTCTTTTTAGTATACAGTCATATGTTACTTAATGACAGGAATATGTTCTGAGAAATGCATCCTTAAGTGATTTCATCATTGTGCAAACATCAGTGAGTATACTTACATAAATCTAGATGGTATAGCCCACTGCATATGTTGCTGTATGGTACAGCTTATTGCTGTTAGGCTAGAAACATGTACAGCATGATACTGAACTGAATAATGTAGGCAACAGTAACACAATGGTAAGTATTTGTGTATCTAAACATATAAAAGGTACAGTAAAAATATGGCATCATTGTCTTGTGGGACCACTGTTATAATATTGATCTGTCATTGACCAAAATGTCATTTTGTGGCACATGGCTGTATTTCTATTTTTATTGCATTAATTTTAGACTGTATCCTTTTAAATTCTCTTTCCTAGTTTTTTAAACAATGGAATTTTAATCTAAAGTAATTTTGTTAAAATAGTTTAGAGGCAAAGCAAATGTTATTTTTCTATTTTATTTCCATACAATATGGTATTTAATATTTAAAGTCTTAGACTTCATGTCTATGATATTTTAAATTATCTTTTCTCTAGTATATAGAGTTAATAATGTGTATATCAAACATTCTGTGAGTCATTGTACAATAACGAAAATGTCAAATGAGCATAAACCTTTACATGTCAGTAAATTTTTAAAAACTGAATTATTAGTATGGCATTGCAACAGCTTTTCTTTTCTTTAAATATACTGATATACATCTACTAAAATAATAATCTTATCTTGATTGACTTATTTGGCAAGAACAAGTTCAAATGTCTGTGCAAAGGTTACCCTTCTTGGAACTCCTGTTTAAAAATATAAAGTGACATCCCTTGACCTGTACTTGTCTTCTTATGTAACAAGAATGTGTAGATGACAATGTGCACAGGTATACAAGGGGAAAGTTAGAAAAAGCATTTTACAATTCATTACAATGTCAGTGTCATCATCTAATACTATTCCCCTCTCATCATCGCCCTTGCTTAAAAACACTGCCTACACCCCCAGATAAAAACATACTGATATAAATCATCACTTCAGAATAAATGAAGTTCTTATTTGCATAATTTTCTTTCTTTATGAACATTATAATTTTAATTAGAAATTTAACTGACATTTTACTTTATTGAGATACAATATACACATCATAAAATCTATTCATTGTAAGTATACTATTCAATGACTTTTAGTTAATATATAGTATTGTGCATGTATCCCTACAATTCAATTTTAGAACATTGTCATCTTTCCAAAAACTTCCCTTGAGCCTGTTTGCCATCAATCCATTTTTTTTTATTCCCAGCCTCAGGGAAATTTCTGATTCATTCTTTACCCCTATAAATTTGCCTTTACTGTCCATTTCATATGAAAGCAATCATACATTACATAGTCTTTTGCAACTCACTTCTTTTATTTAGCATAATGTTTTTGAGGCTTATCCATGATGTAGCATTTTTTGGTCTTTTGTTCTTTTTTATTGTTGGGTAGCATACCATTGTATAGACATATCACATCTGCTTATTCTTTCAGCAGGTGGTAGACATTTAGATTGTTTCCATTTTTGGCTATGATACTAACACTGCTATGAACATTCATTTACAGATCTTTGCATGGATGTGTTCTTCATTTATCATGGTACATTCCTAGGAGTGGAATTGCTGTGTCATGTGAGTATTCATATTTAACTTTTGAAGAAGCGATCAAACTGTTTTTCCAAATTCGTTCTACGATTTCTTCATCCTCACCAACACCTGCCATTTTCTGCCTCTTGATTATAGTCATTCAAGTCAGTATGTAGTGATATTTTACTGTGGTTTGAATCTTCATTTTACTAATGACTAACGATGTTGTGCACCTTTTCATGTGCTTAGTAGCCATTCATGTGTCTTCTTTGATGAAATGTCTATCTTTCATCTATTTTTAAAGTACCCATTTATTTTCTTATTATTGAGTTTTAAGAGATTTTTTAAATGCATTTTATATATAAGTTGAAATTATTTCTCATTGTTTTCATTTTCATTTTTTTTAAAAAAGTCTTTTTAAAGTTTGACTTTTGAAAAAGTGTTATTTATCAAGTTTTTCTTCTGTAGATTATGCCTTTATTGTTGTATGCAAGGACTGTTTGCATAACCCAAAGTGACAAAAATTGTCTTTTCTATGTTTTTGGTAGTAGTTTCATAGTTTCAGCTCTTAAATTTAGGTCTACAAATCAGTTTTACTTTGTTTTTCTGTAAGGAGTGAAGTAAATGTCGATGTGAAATGTGTGCATATGCAGCTTCAATTCTTCAAGCACTAGTTGGTATAAAAGCCGACTTTCTCTGCATTGAGGATTTTTGGCATCTTTGTTAAAAAAAAATGACCTCAAATGTAAGAATTCATTTCTGAAATCTCAATTCTGTTTCATGGATCTACAGGCCCATCCGTAGCCAATATCCCCATTGTCCTGCTTTTATAGTTTTATATTATGTTTTGAAATCAGATAGTCTAATTCCTCTACCTGTGTTTTTCCTTTCAAAATCATTTTTACTGTCCTAGATCCTCTGAATTTCCATATGGGTTTTAGAATCAGTTTGCCAATGTTTACAAAAAAATGAGCTTGCTTGGATTTTTACTGGTCTATTAGGTATTATGCTGAATCTATAGTATTCTGATCTTTAGAAAAAGCAAATAAATCTGTGGACCAATTTCACATTTTATGACCTAATTCATAAACATTTTCTATTAAAAAAATAGATCTTGTGAATCTGAAGAAAATTTAAATATGAACAATCTAATTTAAAAGGTTTAATGACTATCATTTTGTTTTGTGAGACTCTTAATTTTAATTATATCTATGCATCTACTTTTTTACAGAAAATAGAACGAAATGTCATTTAAAGAACTCTGATCAAAATTCTATTCTAACCTGCATTCTGCTATTTTTCTTATGCACCTTGGACTAAGATAATAAATCTTCTGAGTTTTTGTTTTATCAACTAAAACAAAGCCTCTCCTTGTTTTAATATTTTATGATTAGATAATGTCATGCTAATTTTTACTCAGAAATGTTTCACAACTTCTTTGAGTTTTATTTAAGACCGTAAAAAAGCACTTTGAGCCAATCCCTATAATTTTTTTTGCATAATTTAAAAAAATCATTAACATTTTATTGTGAGTTTAGCTGGATTTTTTTAAACTCCTGACCTTAAGCAATTCTCACACCTCAGCCTCCCAAAATGCTAGGATTATAGGCATGAGCCATTGTGCCTGAACAAGCTGCATTTTCTGTGGTAAGAATTGATTGTTTTATCACAAATATCAAAAGAAATACATCTCTGGAGATTTTAAAATAACAGCTCAGATCTGTTCTTCATTTGAACAAGGTTTACCTATCTTTTCATCTTACGTATATTGTTTAAATGTTTCTATTGTACATTGTTTTGAATAAATATTTACCTTTAATTTCTTCTTAAACCAATATTTTTAAGTTATTAGAATTTAACTGACATTTAGAAGTTAATTAGCTCTGTGCCACAGCATTAGCACATTAAGAACGTGACAACTTATTCTTATCTCATAACATCTAATAAACTTAAAACACCATAATGTGATATAACGCAAATAGCAAGGGGCCAGGTGCCGGAGACTTTGGGAGAACTCAAGTATTTTCAGTTTATTAAACTGATAATTTTAGATAAGTCATCTTCTTGAAAACTTGGCCTTTTCATTTGTACAGTTTGATATAGCCACTGCAGCTCTCTGCATGTTACCAAATTACTAAAACAAGAACATTAGATACCATGAAAAAGCCATTTTAAATGGGGGAATATTCTGCCACTTATCCAAATGACTGAAAAAGTTACTTGATAACTTTGAGGCTCAGTTTCCCAATCTGAAAATAAGAGTAATAATAGAAGTTACCTCAGTCTGGGGATCCATGTAAAGTGCTTAGCAAAGGGTCTAGTATTTTGCTAACATTCAGTGATATTAGCTACATCTATCAAAAATAATAGAAATAGCAGCAGTAATACAAAAGCTGATAGGAAATAATACTGGACAAATAATACTAGACTACTGGGAGAATGTCTGAATTTTAGTTTAGATTTTGCTAAAATTAGCTAATGGATTTGAACCAAATAATTTAAACTTTCAAGGCCTGAATAGAATCATGTGTACATCAAAAACAATAAGCAAAATAATTTCAAATACTTCCTTTTGCTCTGAAATTCAATGACTGTTATTATTGTACAAACTTAGTAAGTGAATACTAATTGAAATTTAATAAACACATATCACCTTTCTTTCAGCTTTTCTATCATTGCCACTTGATATATATAAAAACACAGCATTTTGCTCTGCTGTCCAAAATTTTAAAAACAGCATTAATTCATGAAATTATACTGAAAATATTTATTGGCTTTTGATTAATTTTCTTTTCTTCTGAAAATATCTTGAAAATATAAATTGATAACCTTGTTATACATATATAATAAGCCACATCACATTCTGGTAACATTAATAATTAAAATGGAAAAATTCCTAAACCCTCTGTTTTTAAAGGTGTCACTTCAGTTACATCATTTTAAAAATCCTCTAATAAAGCTTCAAAGTTAAGCAATACTCCTATTCTCAAAGATATGGATGAATTTATGCACAGAGACATTTAATACTTTACTAAGTTTTCTCTTATAAGCTGAAGAAAACGGAATTAAAATTATTGATTACTTACATGACCTAGTTTGTGAATTGGAAAAGCTAAAAAGGAGTAGTAGGTGATAAAGGAATGTGCCTCCTGTGACAGATGCAAGGAAACAAATAAACACAGTATCGTGATGTACAAAAACAAACTAAGTGAACTGTCATGTACAGACCTACAGTAATGATAAGGCTTGTAATATTTATTATTTTATTTCTTTAAAAAAGTAAAGGCAGGTATCATTGGCAGCTTGAAACAACATTCATGCCTGTGCAGCTGCATTCTAATCACATTTAACAAATGACAAATGCAGTCATTACCTGGAGTTTTTCATTTGATGGCTCCGGACCTTCTGGGGACAGGAGATAAATGAAGGAAAGCTGACACCTTCAGATGTTGTCTAGATTAGTGTTGACATTTTTCCTTGGAGGTTGACAGCTGCTAATGAATTTAATTTAAACATGAAACAGAGGATCAAAAATATCTTTTAAACAGAATTTTACTAAAAGGGATATTGAGGCACATTGATCATGAGCAATAACAGAAAGGAAATCTAATTTGCAAGATTCCAAATCACCAATATGAGCCCACTCATGTAACTTTATTCTTTAATTTTTTAAGTCTAACTTATGCTTAAATTCTCAAATTCAGATTATAGAAAGTGCATTAAATTAGATGGGAATGTTTTTCATATAAAGATATCATCAAAGGAATTTTCTATTCAGACATCCTGAATGAAAATCTAAAGGTATAGTGTGTGGCAGGAGATAATTTGTATACAAATTGTCTTTATTACTAAATCTTTAAGGATGATACTTTTATGTGCCAAAGACTACATGGTATATTGGTAGACTTCTTAGATTCTTCTCCACTTTCACCTCTAATTATCTTGTCTTTTGTAGAGCATAAGATCATTACATGCCTTGTTTTCTGAGGCAGAAATATCTGAATTTCTAGATCCTTCAAAGAATGAAAATGAGACACATAAAAATACTGTCATAATTTAGAGTAAACATTATTAATAAATAACAACAAATATGTGTGTATCATATTGCAGTTTGAAAAACATGTTTCTCAACTAGAGAGGAACAGAATGGACAAGTTGAAACATTCTCAAATAAGTCCAACACAACAAGGTCGTCAGCTGTAAGAATGAGAGCAACAGTATTAAACACTGGAGGTCCTGAAGCAGCTCAGGGAGGAAGAGGTGATAATCAATAAATGTTATATGATGAGAAGTGCTGCTCTATTTTGAGTAAAGAAGTTCAAACTTTCAAGGAGCTAACAAGTGCTGGAGATTGAGGGGGCATGGCAAGAAGCTGGGGAGATGGGGCTGTTTCAGATTACCCATAATATGTGTCCAACTCTTGTTCTCCACGGAGTCCAGACATAGGGATTTTAGCATGAATGACTGATAGAAGTGCAGAAGTGGCCAATTTTCTCACATGGTTATTAATATGAATCTTTCATTTGTCCAGAATGAAATTATGTGATCAAATGGGACTTCACAAATAATTTTGCAATCATTTCAGACCATGCTCTGCTATCACCTGTCAAATCACCCAACTAGCCTCTCTGTGTTATGTTTTTCTTTCTGGAACATGGGGATAAACTACTAAGAATGGAAGAAAAAACACACATTTAAGAAGAGCTAGCCAGGCTGTTAGGCAGTCAGCCTACACACCAGACACATATATATATATGTATGTGTATATATATATATATATATATATATATATATATATATATATATATGTATATATATATATATATATACATATATATATATATTCACATGGACTAGTTCAGAGATGATTCCTGAATTTTCAAGTGCGGATGGAGAAACTTTATTCAGAAAGAGGAAAGGGATGTGGAGGAAAGCCATACCATTTAGAAAAAAACAGTGTTGGGCTCCTGCAGGTAGCTTTTCAAAAGGTGCCACAAGTGAGATCTTTTCTCTTGCTTTTTACCAACCTTGAGTACACACCGCCTTGCCTTTCTGGATAGCAATAGCAGTAATTCAGCATTGTTGAAGAACAGATGAGTAAAGTCTGCAGTCTGGAGCGGTAACACCAAATTCCAGACATTAGTTACTTTTGTTGCTCTTGTTGGCATTCACGTTCTTGCAATGTGCCAAGTACTGTGCTAACGTTTTACATGATTTGCTTCATTTAATCCTAACAACAACTCTCTTAAGTGGTACTATTATAAACCTTAACCTCAGCTTTATCTAGATAATACAAGTAATAAATAATGGCACTTAAGTTTGTTCTCAGCCAGAATTACTCCAGGATAAACGTTCTTAAGCAACATACTCTACTGGGTATCTTTGTATAATTTAAATGCATTTGACACTAGCATATTTTGCACTGTTAAATGGAATTTACACAAAATCATAGCAGAAACTGTTCCTGCCTTATTCAGTTATTATAATTTACTGACTTTGAAATCCAGAGCCTTGGCTGAAACTGACCAGGGATGCCATAGCATCTAGACAACTGAAGTCAGCAACTTCCCCTTGCAACTTTATCAGTTAAAACAAAAAGGATTAAATTAAAAGTGATCAAAACCATACCCTTTAATAACTTGTCTGTAATTAAATCGGCAGTTGAAATATGTATTTTTGTATGTCTATTTGTATTATCGATCATTAATTTACAGCTCTAACTAGATGACTTTTTAATGGCTGTAATTCCAATACTCTTATAATCAACACGAAGAAATTGGTAAAAATCCTGACAATGTAGTATAAAGGAAATATCTCTGCTTCCATTCCTGTCAAAATTCTCCTTAAGTAGTCTAGTACATATGCCACATTCATCCCATTTTGTGACCTATGTTGATTCACGCAGTTGTTATTAATGTTGCAAAGTAAACATTTTCATCTTTTCGCGCATGTGACAGGTAGTATTCTACTTTTTGGCGTCCTGTGATTGGGTAGGGACATGTAACAAGTTCAGGCTGATGAAATATGAGTAAAACTGATACGTGTATCACTTCCCAGTGAAGCTTTAAGAACCATCTTCTGAATTGCCACACTCTCCTTCTGCCACAGTTCCAGAGAATAGCTTCTTCCCTGGGGAAGACAATGATGATTCAGAACTAAAAATGCAGCCAACTGAGGCAGGGATTGGCGAAAGGAAGAGGTGTGTCATGGTGTGAACCAGAAACAAACCTTTGTAGTTTTGAGTGTTTGAAATTAAGGGGTTGTTTGTTACCATAGTATAACTTAGCATAGAGTGGCTGATATCCATATATTACATAGATATATGATAGGTCACATCAGATTTTTTGAAACACAAATTGCAGAAACTCTTGAGTTTCAATGTTTTATGTATTCCCTAAACTTCACTGATAACATCTCTCTCATTATTCCCACAGTTTTTAATTTCAAGAAATCTAATGAGATTAACCTTTGTATTTCAAACTGCCCAAAATTGACCACTAAGCTATTGAGGAATGCCTGTCCATCTCTGTGGTAGTGGTGGGAAGGTATTTGTAATACATTGTAAATGCTCTTTCTATTCATTAAAAATATTTTAATTATTTTTCTCAATGGCAGCAAACTGCTCAATGAAGTCTACATGTCCTATAAGATATTAATATTGTACTTCATAGAAGAATAAATTTATGAGCATATTATATAGATTAAGCAAAGTTACATATATTTATAATTCACAAAATATAACAAGAGAATGTGAAGTCTCTATTTCTCCCAGAATGTGATTTCTCCCAGTCTCTCTCTCTTTCACTCTATTTCCTTCTCTAACTTTAATAGGTATTTCTCTGTAATTCTTTATATAACACTCTGACAAATATTCTCTCTAGCTATAATGGCTTAAGGTCTTTTGTTTGTTGCTCTAGTTTCTTAATCATTTTGTGCATACTTTTAAGTAGGCTACATTATAATTGCAATTGGGCTTTGCATTTGCCTAGATATAGTTTGTACTCTTGCAGCAACTAGTGCCTTATTTTGCATGCAATAGCTATTGATAGGCATTTCTTGACATTTCTCCAATTCTGTTATTTGTTCATTAGCACTTTGAGAAGGAGCTGAACAGCCCCTGCTTTTCACTCTTAAGATTGAATCTTACATTTTCAGAATGTGTATTATACTAGTAAGGTGCTTTATGTCCACAGGGTGCAAACATAAGGAATAATTATATTATATAGAAAATTATATTAACTAGGATGATAACTATTGCAGTAAATGGTTCCCTAAATCCAGTAAGTTAACTCAATGAAAAGTGTGTTCTCTTTCAAGCAGCAATCCCATACTGCTCTTCCGGGTGGCTGGGGACAGAGTGTTCTGTTTCATGCTGTCATATGGAGTTCCAGTTTTTTACAGTCTTCCACACATGACTTCCAAGCTTTCCTGAGTGTTCACATTCAGCAGGCAGAAGGGAAAGAACATGGATGATTGATTGCATAGGGGAGATGTTTGGAACTAGACCCTTAAATGTAATATATTACTACTGCTGCCCTCAGTCAGGAACTCAGTCACATGACTATAACCAATTGCAATGACAAGCAGGAAATGTAATACAGAAAGAAGAGGAAATTAACCAATCTCTGCCATGTATTTAAGTAGATATAATTGCTTTGATTATGGCTGTGTTTCATCAAATCTAGAATTAACTTCTCTTAAAACCAGCTTTGGAATCAAGATTTTAACAGATGATGTTACAGGCTTTCATTATGGTTTAATTGGAACTTTCTTGTATTTCTTTTCAGTATATCAAAATCAAATAGATTTTACAATATATAATGTCATATTGTTCAATAGAATGTGTAATATCTCAGTAATTCCCAAGAAAAATTAAGTTTTTAAGTAATTATTGCAAATACTTTATAAAGGTGCTATTAAATCTAAAAATTAAAAAGTTAATCATGCTAAATGATATTGTAAGGGTTGTTTGTTTACACTTTTTCTACTGTTTCTCAGAGGACATGTCTATTAACAATAAGTGCTAAAAAGCAGTATGTTACTATATTGAAAATTTAAATTTAAAGAATAAAGTACTGAACTACTCTAAGGGGTCATGCAGTCATATATATTCATAGAAGTGTCATATTAGATTGAGCTATGTTTCTCAATAAATACCTTTAGAATCTATTAAAAATCACACAAACAACATGATGGGAAGAGGGATAATTAACATTTTTTACAAATGGTCTTGTTAAAAAGTGGAGTTATATTTAAAACCTTACATCTAACAATATTAGCTGCACATCTTGGAAGACTCCAAAACAGTGTGGAAGCCAGGGCACTATGTGTCCAAAAAGTTAATGCCTTTTAGCCTATTTCCCATTTCCCTCTTGAGCTTATGGTTTTAGTGTTCACTCTTACTTACTTAGCCATTTTTGAAAAGCACTTGTAGAAGATATAAATAAGAGTGTAGATATGTTTGTTGACATTAAATATTTCTAATTATTATCATGAATAGTGGAATATATTTAATGAGGTAGAAAAATAATATTCTACGTTATTTCCTTAATAACTTTTTCTAACTTCCAACATCATAGACTCTATTTGTTATTGTAATCCTCCGAAGTTTTCTTTCTTCATTCATTTAAGAAAGAAACACTTTTTTTTTGTTTTTTTTTTTCGAGAAGGAGTCTCACTCTGTCACCCAGGCTGGAGTGCATTGGCACAATCTCGGCTCACTGCAAGCTCCGCCTCCCGGGTTCACTCCATTCTCCTGCCTCAGCCTCCCGAGTAGCTGGGACTACAGGCGCCCGCCACCACACCTGGCTACTTTTTGTATTTTTAGTAGAGACGGGGTTCCACCTTGTTAGCCAGGATGGTCTCGATTTCCTGACCTCGCTGTCTGCTCACCTCGGACTCCCCAAGTGCTGGGATTACAGGCCTGAGCCACTGCACCCAGCCTAGAAAGAAACACATTTTTAATTAATGTTTAAGGTACTTTTCTCCAGTGTCCTTAAAACACATTATTTTATCCTAAATCACTACATCTTCTGTTATCTATTCTAATTTATGTATAAATTCTTAAAAGAATACAAGCAGCATTATTTACCTGCAAGTTTTATGCAACAAAAAGAATGCTAACTTTGGACATTATTAAAGATATAAAGAATTTACATTAGTTTATATTTTTATTAAACCCGTGAAAAAGACCATCTAAATTTCAAGTTGAAATAAATATAGCTGATTGAAACTGTAGAAAAAAATTTCTTATTTCTGTGTTGTCCCTTCCTTTGTTATATATAAACACTTCTTATCTTTATTTTTAAAGCATCTTTTTATGAGCAGTTATTACATAATGTATTCATCTTTAATATATTTATCCACAAAAATATAAAGTCACAAAATTACAAGACAACTTTTCTCATGTGTGTTTAAAAAATTTTCAGCCTTAATGTGAATGAAATTCAGATTTTTTTTCTAACATTCAATCCATCTTGAAAAATGGATGCTTAAATATAAGTTTATTTACCTTTTTCCCTCATTGGTAGTCTAGATTTCAGAGCCTACTCTTTTACAGAATATAAACCAGAGGCTAAATTTCAGTCCTCTAGGTTCTAACCTAGAGCTAGCTACCCTCTAACTTAGCACTTTTCTGGGTTCTAACCTAGACCTAGCAAACCTCTAACTTAGCACTTTTCACTATTGAAATTTCCCTTTTTGTTTTCAGTCTTCTTCCCTAGACTCTAAATTCGTTGAAAGCGTTTCTGATGCCTGGCATAAAATAGTCACTCAAATGTTTATTGAACTGAATATAAGCTAAGTGAGTAGAATTGTAATAAGGACGTTGAATGAGCTGTTTGAGGACACATCACATGCTTTTGTTTATGGGTGACAACTTTTGTTTTAGAAACTGAGCAAAAATCTGGTCTGTTAAATATGCTGTACATGGACTGATTTCATTTAACACATAATTCTTCATATTGTAGAAAAAAACTATTTTAGACTTTAAAATATCTCAGCCTGAGCAGGTTGTGATCTTTTGTACTTGTTTATTAATAACAGAGGGCTCCAGGGCTCAGACAAAATTTGAAGAATTGATGTTCCAGTCTCAAAAGATATTGAGGGGGTTGTCAAACTTACCTGCAACCATACCAGCCAAAATTAAATCTCTGTTTTTACACACAGTATGCCATCATAGATACAGCAGACATTCTTGGCATTTCTTAGTATGATTAATTCAAGCTATTACTATGGAAGCACTGACAAAAATTTTAAATATCATAAGCATCACTCAATAGCAACACTAATAACTTTAGCTCAAATTTACCAACTATAAACCTGATTCTTCAAAAAGTTATTTCCAATATTCTCTACAGCATACCATTTTCATATTTTTGAGCTACTTACTGTAAATAGTTATTTGGGTAGTTGATGAAATTTAACCGTTCTACTGAGCCATCCATGTTTAAGATCATAATTAGAGTCAAAAAGAAGCGGTATATACAATTACTATATTTGGATGAATTATTCAAAGGTATTTTCTTTAGATTTTTCTGTCTTAAAGATGATTTCTTAAAACTTAACTTGTTTCCATAGTACAAATGAACATGTATTTCCATGTGCTTCTAGATGATAGCAGCCAAAAAATAGAATTACTGAATGAAATAGTACATATTTTTAAAAGTAGTCTTAAACTGGTTCTCAGTTTAAGCAATTTCATCAAAGTCAATACTGCTAATACTTTCTGGTGACAATAAAATATTTAACATATATATCTTCAATGTGCTCAGCAGAAATCAGACTAAGCAGAATAGTAAATAAAATTATCCTCCATGACTTAATAAATTAATATGTAGAATAATCCTCCATGACATAAGTATCTTCAGTGGGATTTGGAGAGCTCGAAGAGCAAGTATAAGTCCATATATGGGATCTGTTATTTTTTAGCTACTCAGGTTGGATCTCCCATGTGTGTTTTGGCACTCTTTGTCAGAAGTCATGTTACAGATTTCAGTTCCAGCTCATCTTTACTTATTATCATTAGACACGTCAGCCTTATAAAAAATGACCTCATGTGTACCACGTAACACAAGAGAGGACTGTATTAGAGAGGCTCAAAAGCTACCACCTCGAAGAGCTGGTTTCAATTTCTACTCATCTTTTTTCTTGCTACATCCTTTCATTAAATCTTCTCTGAGCTTTTTGTCTTACATACTCAGTATATGGTCTATTTCTAGTTTTCACGGATCATGTGGAAGGATGTATGTTATGTAGTGAAAAAATGTCCTTTGTTTTTTGATTGACTGGCTGTCGTTACTTAACTCCTTTTTTTCTGCTGTCATTTATGCAAAAGGAAGCAAGGAAAGCTTTATACTTGAGTTAAATATATAGAATATTTCACCGCTTTCATATTTCTCTTTTAAAAAAATTTAATATAAAAAAACCTTTAATTTTTTTGAGATGGGATCTTGCTCTGTCTTCCATGCTAGAGTGCATTGGCACAATCATAGCTCACTGCAGGCTTGAACTCCTGTGCTCTAGCAATCCTTCCGCCTCAGCCTCCGGACTAGCTGGGACTATAGGCACATGTCACCACACCAAGCTAATATTTTGTTGTTATTACACAGTATCTCACTGTATTACCCAGGCTGGTCTCAAACTCCTGACTTCAAGTGATGTTCCTGCCTTGGCCTCCCAAAGTGCTAGGATTACTGGTATAGGCCACCATGCCCAGCCCATATTCTCTTCTTATGATTAATTTTTATTTTACTTTCAGTTTAAAAAATAGAGGTTCAATACAACATTTTTCATTTTTTCTTGTGTCGTGAGTGAAAATCTTTTCTTGTTAAACCACACAAGCCCAAGATTTAGGATATAAACGAAACTCCAGATTTGGTGGAGCAGCTGTACACAGTTAAGCTGCTTGATCTGACACCTCACCAAATCTGGAGGCTCCTTTCCCTCTCCTAAATCATGGCATTTCTCTGTTTGTTATAGTTGACTTCTTCTTCTTCCTTGAATAACTCTTTTTACTTTTCTTCTGGAACAATGTATTTCCTGATTTTTCTTCTATTCAGTCAGCCAATTATCATTTTGTTTTCAGAGTTTCTCCTCATCTTCCTGATTTTCAGCGCTTGAATGTACTAGATTTTAGTTCATAATTATCTTTTCTCTGTACATTCACTCCTTAATGATCTCATCTACTCTCATGGCCTTAAATGCATTTACAGGCTGATGGCTCCAAATTTATATCTCTAGCCCAGGCCTCTCTCCTGATCTCTAAACTCATGCAACTATTTGTCTACTGGATATCTCTCCTTGGGTAGTTAGCATTAATTAATTCAGCAGGAGAAAATGTAGACACCTATTCTTTGTACCTGAAGCTTTTCCTCCAAGAGCCTTCTCCAGCTCCATCCACCCCAGTTGCTCAGGCCAAAGCCCTCGCTAACGTCTTTAACTCCTTTTTCTTACTCCTATATCTAATCCATTAGCAAATTCTACATGCCTTCATAATCTATTCTCTAGATATAAGCTAGATAAAGCGTCTGGCACATAGTAGGTAATCAATAAATATTTGTAGATGAGAAGAATGACAAAATATACCAAATCTCACTCTATTCACTCTTTCTTTCATTATCAATTTAGTTAAATTTCTGCATTTTAGCCTCCAACCTTGTCTTGCTGGTGCCAGCTATGCTTTCAAAATTTTGTTCTTGAAAGAGCTGTTATGGTGATAATTTGGAAGGAACCTGTTATTCCATACAAAAGTTTTCAGAAACTACTCATTTCAGAATCAATATCAAACAACTTACAATGAACAAAATGTCATACACAGCCTAGTCTTCTTTAACTTCTGTGACTCTTCTATACTATACTTTGCAGTCAAGCTGTTCTAGCTCCTGGATACATCAGTGTCATGTTCCCAACTCTGTATCTTTGCTCTTTGGTGTTACTTCTTCCAGTAATGCTGTTTGTCCAATATAAGCACAGCTTTCTGCTTCCTTAGTTCCATTGTTCTTTGTTTAAATGAGCTATTTTCAGAAGGGATTTCTATGGTATATTACAGATTAAAAGCATGCATTCCCCTATCCCACCTGCACAAGTGCTGTGTACTTACCTACACTCCCCGCTAGCTCCCTTGACTTTTAGCCTTTGCCATGTGAATTGCCAATGGATGTTATATAGATTGTTTCTGCTTGAAAAAAAATTGTAATATTAAATCTTCCCTTTTGCACCTCTGCTATCCAGATGAGAAGAATATATCCAGGCTGATCCATCAATCCCAGAAGGAGAACAAGAAACACATGGAGCAGAGCTAAGTTACCCAGCCTAGCTCAGCCTAGATCAGCATCCTGTAACAGGCCCCCAGCCTTGTGGGCTAAATAAACATGTGTTGTTGTATGTTACTGTGTTGTTTTTACTTAGCACTCTGTGGCAATAGCTGATATACCTTCTGTGATCGCCCTGTTTAAAATTTAATGTGCACAAGATATAAAACCCAAAATGCACAGATGTGTTAGTATCACATCATCTATAAGATTCTCTTTAATTTACTGACCATTTTAAAATTTAGTACATTACTCTTCTTTTTTGGCAAAAAGGCACCCGACTTGCATGGTTTTCTGTGAGAACTAAGCTTTTGCATGACTTGTTCATGCCTTTGTATCCAATCAGAGCAACACTGACAGCAGATGCTTTGGATATAATTTCCCATTCATCTTAGTTTTTTCTTCACAACATTTGATTCTTGCAGTTGCTGGAATGATTTCCAGAATGAGATTCATTGTATAAGCTTTGAGTCAGGAATTTTAGCATTTTAGAATAAACAAATGCACACAGATTGTTCCTAAAGAACAGGCTTAGGGCCCAGAAATTACAGTACTCCAATCATTCTCTTGCCATTTTTAGTTACTTCATAGCTTGGTAAAATAAGCTGTTTCCAGGCATTCCATGCATTTTTTTGTCCCTAGTTCACCAGCCCTTTTCCACAGTTCTCTTGGGTATTCTCTTTAGAACTTAATATTTAAGCATGGATATAAAAACAATTTGCAACATGAGATTTAGCTGTGTGTGCAAAATTTTATTTATTTATTTTTTTACATATGGTTGAGAGAGTTCATAGCTTTTTATTGATAGCCTGTTATTGCCCTAAGTGAATCATTCAGGAAGTTCAGATCTTATATTTCACTCATGTGGGTCTCTAATTTTTACTCCTTGTATCCTGAGTTATTTAAATTAAGAAGCTCATATAGTAGTTCCAACAGCGTGCTATAATTTTTGTTGACTCAAAAAAACCCTTTATTCTAAGAAATATTCCACTACTGCCTCAAGTCTTTTAGGAAAGAGGTAAGGTATTAATATATGCACAATTTTTTTTTATTAAGAAAGACATTTCTTATGAATATTTAAGCCTATTTAAATTAGTGATTGACAAATCTAACCAATTCATTTTAATCTTCACTGTTGTATTCTAAGAAAATTAAAATAGGATTGCTTTAATTTATAGTAAAAATATATAGGAAATTTCCCATATAGATATATATTGCAGACAATGCTGAATGATCTGTTACACAGTATCATTCAGGCAATAGCTGATTAAGTGTATGTTAGATGAAAACACAGAAAAACAGAAAAAAATATGAAATACTTTATGCAAAATAATCATTATAGCTTGTTCCAAATTAACAACAAAATCAAGTTTTATATTAAAACATATATTATCATTCCTTGGGCAACCTAAAAGAGGAATTTTAATTTTGAAAAAACAAAATTTTTGTTACCTTAAAGGGTAATTTTTGTTTTGGAAAAACAAAAAATTTCCTATGTCTATGGAAACTCTTAGCTACTTTATTTGGTCAATATTAAAATTTCATTGGGTTCTTATTATTTATGGACATATTAATTAATTTTCATGTCATTCAGGAAGAAACATTCTGTTAACATTACATTCTACTTGTTTTCTGCCAGTTCTTTTCAATTCTTGGTAAGTTTTAAATTTTAATATAAAAATTTTATTGTGTGCTTATTATTTATGAATGTATTAATCTATTTTTGTGACATCCACGAACAAACATTCTACTAACATTCTGTTCCACTTGTTTTCTGCCAGTTCATTTCAACTCTTGATATGTTTATCTTCCCTTTACAAAGCACACCAATAGAAAAATGTGCTTTGTGCTGAATACTAAATTGAAAATGAATAATACTCCTCACCCACCTTTGATTTTACAGGTATTGTCTTTAGTGAAAGGCAACGTGCCGCTAATAAATTATCACATCAGCAGCTTTACTGCAATGCACCAAAGAGCAGAATAGCTCAACAGCCGATATTTCTGTCCCACAAACTACTGTGCCTACTAACTAGGTTTTTTATGTAAACCTCAATTTGGAGACCTAAGATATACGCACAGAAGATACACACACATTGCTCTTTCTGTCCTATACTCTTTTTTTTATCTCTGCGGTGGGAGTGTGTGTTTAAACATACATTATATTTATTAAAATCTAATTAATCTTGGTTGAACATAAAAAAATGCATTAGATTTTGCAATTTTGAGATGTTTGGTATTTTTACTTCCTAATTACTAAGAAAACCATTAGACCAAAAACACATGTTAAAATACAGTGGACAAATGCTCAGTTAATGATAATGTTAGAATATCAATTAATGAGCTGATCAGATGTTTTTGATAACACAAGAGAGCTAAGAGGCAGCTGCTCAATCACCTTCTGTTTTCATACCCAGGGACATATTTTGAACTTTTGTATCCCTAATTTTTCTCCCTGTACAATAACATAGCAGTAGCTTATAGGGTTATAGCAATGATTAAGTAGAATAATAAATAAAAACACTAAGAGTAATATAAAGAACATAATAAGTGTTAAATGAATTTGAACTAAACTAGATAATTGGCTTTACACTTGGGTGAACAAGAATTAGTGATAAGCCTAGGAATGTCTACTTGTAGAAAATATTTCTAAAGAATAAAATTTCATCTCCCTCTACATCAGGAACAACATATCCCTCAAAATACTTGAGTATGAGGTACAGAGCTATATATTTCCATTAATAGAGCTTTTACAATATTGACATTTATGGTTAAGGTAGTTTAATGGAACAAAACAATACTTTTTTCCAGTTACTTATGGATTCCCATACTTCAGAAGAGTAACAGAAAGGGAACAAAAATGATATGAGAACACATTATTTAATGTTTAGGTTAAAAAAAAAGTCTTAACTACTACAATACTATAATACAATTTCTCAAAGGTGTGCAATTAGATATTACATCATATAGAATGAGGTAGATTATATTGCAGTAGCAGGTAACCCCACATATCAGAGGTTGAATTCAAACTGCTTACTCTGTTATATGACCAAGGAACTGCAGGGGGAAGAAGGTCTAAAGGCTCATTGTAATCATTCAGGCATGCACAGTGATAGAAACTCCATCTTGGTACATGCTTCCATAATCATTAAAGCAGGCAAAGAGAAGGTAACAATTTATACATATGTTCCTAAAACTTCCTGGAAGTTAAAATTGTTGCTTATGCTAACGTTTTATTGGATAAGGTCACATTGTCAGGGTGATTTCAAAGAGGGTGATTCAGAATGATCAGACTCAATAAATCGAGCTAATATAATATTAACCAAATTTATGGCAGTTGATGCATAAGACAGGTTAGTTCATTAGTTAATAACAACTATTTATCAGGCTTACTGACAAGCACATTCTACCTTGGTAGGCAAAATACATATAATACCAAATAATAATTAGAGAACTGCTTGTTGAACATGCAATCAAAATATGGTGGTCAATAATGCAATATGTGTGTTATATGTGTGTATGCGTGTGTGTATATAAAATATGCGTTATATGTTACAATAGCCAGATGTGTCTATCAACGTTTCAGAAGTATATCTATGAGACAGACTGTATAATTAAATCTATAGGTAAAGGTGTCCTGTTCATTAAACAGGATTAATATTCAA
The DNA here is from genome assembly GCF_000001405.40 of Homo sapiens. Taxonomy (NCBI): domain Eukaryota; kingdom Metazoa; phylum Chordata; class Mammalia; order Primates; family Hominidae; genus Homo; species Homo sapiens. The sequence continues at coordinate 84,644,927 of NC_000007.14, read as the reverse complement.
CACTGCAATATAGATAATGGGTTGACCAACTTCAGTTAAATTTCTTTCTTTAATCATAATTCATCTTTAACTATAGTAATAATTTTCTGAGGTAATATCTGGTTACCTACAATTAATGTTTACATAATTTTTCTGTCACTTATGTCTTATGTTTTTTTCACGTCTAAAGATATTACTGTTACTACCACTGTAATTGTTACTATTTACTAAATGCCTGCAATGTGTTAGGAGCTTTACATGTTTTATATCACTAACTACTTTTAGCAATCTAGTGAAATAAGCATTATTATTGTTATCATCATTTTAGAGAGGAAGGAATTAAGATTTATAAATATTAATTATTTTTCCCCTTATTACCCTAAGGAGAATTTGGCAAAGCAGCAATTCAAATAAAGATCAGTGTGGTGCCCAAAATCATTCCTATATTTCACTTGCTCAATTCCATTTTAACAATTCTGAATTTTATTAAGGAGTGTCTTAAGTTTACATTGTTGTCATAATCCATGCCTCCCTTTCCCTCCTCAGTGATCAACAGTCAAAACGACAAATAACTGAGATAACGAGGTTCTAGTCAATTTTAAGGAAGAGCTAAAAGTTGAAGAGTTAAGATTTTTAGAATTCTTTCTTCATTCCTTTAGTTTTTACTTTTGCAGTACGTTTTCTTCATCTAAGTATCATTCCATCATTGAAGGTATCCCTTATTGTCCAGCAGAAATTCTAATTTTCATTGAGCATCTCAAGTTCACACAAATCAAAGTTTTTCAACTGATGGAACTTTAGCTGTAGGGACCACCTCTAGCTTTTAAAGGAGAAATTCAAATTCCTTTTAATCTTATCTAAACCTACTCACTATGAAAAAAGACATCTTATCTTCTAAACAGCTGGAGAAGTAAAAAGTAAAGTCATGGTCCCCATCTTTTACTTTTATCCTATTTTAGAAAAGCCACAGCTCAATCAGGGAATAAAGAACATCCATATGCATATATTAGCATATATTAGCATGCTATAGTATATGGATGATGATGGCCAAAAGTAAAAGAGAAAATCCATTTCTTCAAACATTCTAGGGTTTTTATTTTCTGAACAGAATTAGTGACTTTTTCAGTTGATCATTTAATTAGCATTTACTAACAGTCTCTGTGTTGTTAAATAACATATGATGCAGTTTTTAGAACTGTATCCTCATAATCATAATCTCTACAATTTCATGCATGATTAGTCATTTAAATAAATGGTAGTGGCACTCAATCTTCCCTCAAACTGAAATCACAAGATTTTTTGATGTGAAAACATATGTCTCCTCAGTACAGCTAAAGGAATAGTTCTGTCCACATTAATGTACACCATCATACATGGTGCAGGATCAAAGTTTAGATACAAAAGTTTAGATACAAAAGGTAAATAATTGTTCTGGAGAAGATGCCGGTTGATAGGTAATGTCAAATATATGTGGTCTATATGCTCAGAAACAGATATTTTGGTATATGGTTGGAATCCATTCACAAGAAATTGCAAATGTTTTAGAGCCATCGAAATGCCCGAGGTTGAACTTACATTTAACAGTGAATCTCCAAAAGAAAAGGGTGGATAGTAAGGGCGATAATTTCTTTTCCCAGCTGAGTTCTGTATGTTTGAATGGCTAAACTATAACTGCAGTAAAGCGGCATAGCCTGTATATTCTGTAGAGCAACTACTGCTTTATAAACAGATGGTACCCACAAAATATGAAAAAGTAATCTGATCTGCTAATTATAAAAATTTGAACTGCTTAAGCATCTAATCTCTTCATAATTCTAAAATTAATATAAATATCTCATCAAATATAAAGATTATTTTTATAGTTACATAAAGGTAGTGTTGACTATTACCAGCTGTCTTATTGAGAACTCTGTAAAATTGCTAATAGTCTTACACATATCATATTTGTTCAATAGTTATTCTATTAACAGAAAATTCTGGCATTTTAAAAAGGCAAAATCAAAATTGCAATTTTGTTTGCATTTCCTTGTACCACTTTTTATTGAGTGGCTTTATTTCTGTTTAATGTTAATAACAGATGTGACTTTCACTTCTCCCATCATAGTGGGAATTTCCTTTCATGTGTCAGGTTGTTGTCAGGTTTTCATCACTGTTATCTCCTTCAGTATTCCCCGCAGATGGGTACTACCGACTGTATTCGCTGAAAAGCATTCAATCTGATTGTTTTAATATAGACAATTTTTTAACATTTTAATTTTAAAGTGAATTATGTTTTCAGATTTGCAGTATGCCTGCTGGGTGAGTTAAGGTGTATCAGGAAATTTTTGTGTTTCAGGATCCAGTGCTGTAAAATAGTCAGTGGTATTGATTTGTTCACTGGAAAATGTGATACATCTGTGTAAAATATTATTCAATTGATTTGTTATGTGAAAAGGTGCATCTCTCCATGAAAAACTCTTCCTTAGGGAAATGAAAGATTCCATGGTTGTGAGATATTTTCCTAGTAGTATCTTAAACACAACTTTAAGTGTGTGCATTCTCTTGTTCCCATTACATTCTGTGAATGTTTCTTAAATATTGTGATTATTAAAATATTTATTGTTTTGTTTAATAAGAAGAAAATAAGAAATTAAAACAAGATATGGTTTCAATTTTCAAGACAGTCATAAGAGAAGATGATAAAACGTGATGCAGATAGGAAATGATTATAAAAAGTGTAAATTGTTTTGTTTATTGGATTGATTCTAGGGCAATGTACAGTATGCCTCATTAAAACTCATTTAAAGTGATTGATAGAATTATATAGTGTTATGATGATATAGGTAAAATGGCTTAGCTATTAAGGGTAGAATCATATATTGAAGCCAGGATTAGAGTTGTATACTTGTCATAAACTGGGTATGGAGCTTCTTAGGAGACAAAACCAAGAAGGGAGTATAATAGGCATTAAAGTAAACGTTAAAAGAGGTAAAATAGTGATATAACACAAATACAAAATGAATATGTATTAGGGAATTTTTTTCAACTTATATTACAAGAGGATATTAGTAAGATATTAAAATTAGCTCAATGAGCTAAAGGTCATTTGAGAAATATATATATATATATTTATACACACACACATAAAAATAGAAATTGATATGATTAAATATAATTTAATATTGTAAGTCTCTTGTGTTAGAGACAAAACTGTTTAATAACCTATGGATATTAAACTTTTGATATTATCTGTGCTACCAGGCAGAAATAATTTAATTTCTACTGAACAAAAATTAGCAAATTTTACACAATATGCAATCTTTAATTTTGAACAAAGATTTGAACTAAATACATTTCCCTAGAAAAATCCCTTAGTGTCTTCAATACTACTTAGGATTGAAATAATATATGGATTATGATTGGACTTACTTTTCAGCTTTGTTAACTTTTTGTAATATAAGTTATAATAACTAACATTTATTGAGTCCTAACCATGTGTCTGGCACTTGATTAATTTATTTACAGATGTAGATTTACTTACTGTTAGTTTGTTATTTACAAGTGTTAATTTACTTACTCTTTAAAATTACCTTAATTATCTTATTATAATTATTCACCTTCAGATTTTTTTCTGATGAAGAAGTTGAGGCAGAGAAAGTTTCAATAACTTCTAAAATTACAGAGTAGTAAGTGTTAAAGCAGGGATTCAGGTGCAGACAGTCTGCTTTTAGAGCCAGGCCCCTTAATCCCTATGATTTACTGCCAACTGCACAAAAAGAATAGTTTTGTTCTTATTTTGTTTTGTTTTGTGTTTGTTTGTTTTAACCTATCGTGTAGGGGGAAAAGGACACAGTGGATGATAGTTGATAATCAATTTTCGCATCTTTCCATGTGGAATTATATATAACTGTTTTGCACAAGCAATACTTGGTGTAAAATACAGGTATACCACCCAAGTATAGTTTAATAAAATCAATCTTTAGGGGATGAAAACAATGTTGATTAAGCATACAGTTCTCCAAAGTCTTAGTTCAGAAATTGTAAACCCACATGCCTGTTAGAGGCCAGGCAGGTTAGATAATGGGTCTTATGGGCTAAGAGGATAGGAGAAAACTGTAGAAAACTGGAGGGCCATTCTCAGCTTAATCTTGGCATTGTCTTGTAGAAATGTGATTGTCAGGCAGCCGGATTTTGTTTTTCAGAGAAGCCTTAATTTTAATGTGAAATCTTCCACTTTTATGCACACACACATACATACATATACACATGGGAATGAAAAGAACTCATAAGAAAACTTTTCTTAGGCTTATGAATAGACTGCATATTCTTTATGCAAACTTCCACAAATGTTTTATCTTACAAATATGCTTTTGATAAGAATTTGGTATCCAAAATATGGGCTATATGCTTTAGTAAAAACTTAGAGAATAAATACTATGTTGCAGATCATTCTTGATCTGCTGGTAAAGTTGATAGATTCTTAAGTAAATTAAGGTATTAAAACAAAACTCAGATTAAAACAAAACAAAACAAGCAAAACAAAAAAGGCAGTCAAAGGAGCACTTTACAAGGTATTACCAAGATCTTCCTCCAAATAAAGATCAAGAATTTTATCAAAAATGAACAAATAAATAATAGAGACTTTTAAATCTTCTCACAGCATTTGGCTGAATTAATGATATTCTAATAATTGCAGAGAGCTTATTATTAATATCTCAACATGCATAAAATGCATTGCACACATAAAATGCCTAATGTTTAGCAAATCAACTTTTAATATAAATAAACTTCAACATGTACTACCAGATAGTAAGAACAAAAACAACAAAACGGCAAACTTCACCTGCCACATTGTATTGTTTAATATAAACCACGTTGAAAACTTATACCAATAAAAGTTAGTTGTAGTTAAGACTTTTCTTTTGGAGAATATACATTTACATATATCAACCAAATATACCAATATTCTTTAAAATCGTTTATTTATAAAATGGGGATAACAATACATATTTCATTGGATTTGTGAGAATTAAATGACATTTAATATGTAAAGTAAGAGAAGTAAGGGACATTTAGTAGGTACTAAATTAAGGTATACTATTTTCCTGCTCCACTGCTAACCACTCACTAGACCCCAACAAACATGCCTCATCAGATGTGGAATCAGAAGCAACATTTATTTTACAGTGATATGTCTCGTTTGTTCTTTTAATTTCTTATCTACTCTCTAACCCACTAGCTTACTTGATGTCTGATTTCTTTGAATTTGATTATTTGTGTGCTTTGATTTCTAGTACCTATAGACTCCTTTAATCCTCACTGCTCTTATTTCATCTTGAATCCAATTTCTCAATACAACCTTCATAAATATCAGGTAATAATAATGTTTCAATAAGTTAACAAGAAAGAATTTTTTTAAATACATGAACATATTAATGTATTGAGCACATTGCTAACTGAAACATGAGAGAAGATTGAAACACATATGTAGCACTCATTGCCTTCAAGAATCACAGTGTTAGGATATAAACCTGGAAATATTTTAGGGGAGACTATAAACTTTACCACTTTGAAGGTAGCTGTATTTAAAAACAAATATATGTACATAGATGAACAAAACTCAAGTAAATAGCAATAACGGTTGCATATGGTAAGATACTAAATATTAATAACATAGCACATATTATGATGTGACAGGAGTGCAAGAGAAGAAAGACTAAACCAGAGTAGAGCATGAGAAAGGGATTTGTGGATGAAAGTTTGACTTAAGACATAAAAGTAAATTTTTGACTATGAAGAAAAGGTGAAATGTACCAAGTGATAAAGAACACTGAACAACAAACCAAGATAAGAATAAATATGGTAACTGCACTAAAAGTGGGTGATAATTTTGACTGATGAATAGCATTCTTTTATTCATTGAGGCAGTTAACAAATATTTAATGCATGTGCACCATGTGAGACTTTTTTCTAAGGTCTAGATGCACATTAGGAAAAAGAAATAAACTTCCTTTCTATTATAAATGAAAAGTAAGAAAAGGCAATTAGTGAGAAATATTTGTGGATATACAACACTAAGGCTTTAAGTAAGCCTGTTTTTTTATTTTTTTTTCAAGCTCCTCTGCACATGCTGTTTGTTCCCTCTGTTTAGAATGCTAGCCTTCTTATCTTTACTGCCTACCTTGCTAGTTTATTGCTACCATTTTTAAAACCTCCCTATGATAAGCCTTCTGTGGCATCCCAAATTCAGTTAGATTCTCCTGTCTTTTCAACACTATTTGATTGTTCTTTCTTAAGACATTTCACATTTCTTATTTTACATAGTGTATGTGAATATTTTTATATTTTTCTCTTACTGAACTGTGGGTTTTGTGAGGGTGAGAACAATGTCTGCTTTGCTTCCTGATGCCTACTAATGTAAGATATCATTACATTAATCTTAATGCATTTTAAAAGCTCAGATGTTTTATAATGGGTAAAAAGTAGTTATCATAAGCTCTTTAATTAAAAACACTCAACTATTCTAGGCCCAGAAAATTATATTTTAGGCCAAAAGTAATTGTAATTATGTTAGTAAAACCACTCCTGATAATTTTTCAGAATTTATGATTAATGAGAAATAAGCAGAGAAGTAAATATCTTAATTTTCAAACAGAGGAAATGAGTAAAGCTCAAAACTACATAGCTCACCAAGGAATTTTTGACTGGTTTCTTAGCACATGACACAGTTAGGCTTAGGAATGTTGAGAATGCTGGCAGTCAGCATGAATTTACTAGAAGCTAGTCATGTCAAACAAGTGTCATTTCCTTTTTTTATTTTTAACTGTATTATTAGATTCCTAGATCAAATGATTGCTGAAGACATAGGCCATAGTAGTTGTCAAAAATGTCTCCTTGTACTTTATGAATAAGGGAAATAAATGCTTCTAGGTGATAGAAGAACTGAATGGTTAGATAATCTTAAGAATATATATGAGTGGATTCCAAACTAAATGAAATGAAAGAAGTTCTTTAAGAAAACAGATATAACTCCTGTAATTCTAGCCACAAGAGAGCCCTTTGTTCCTCTCAGGTCCTGAGACTAACATAGAAAGCCATCTAGAAACCATGCAGTGGTGTTGCTCCAGGAATGTGGGGGTCACACCGTGTCTCACATACTTCAAGCCCTAAGCAGATACAGCAAGGTACCATTTTGAGAGCCCAGTCCTCACCAGACTGCATCCAGTCCTGGGGGCCCAGCCCAGCCCTGGAGCCCCACTGATATCCCACACACACATACAGCCTGGAGGCACTGCTGGCTGCTGCAAACAGGCCCAAGATGTGAGCCATTGGCAATGACCTTCCTACCCCCAGGAGCAGAGCCACAGTGCACTGCTGTTGCCCCTCACCCCTACTCGAGTATTCTACTGAGGTCCTAGAGATCACCCTGTTCCTACCTACTACAGCCAACACCCCCACACACCACTAAAGGACCAGAGAACAGGCCTGCTTGGCCCAGCTCCATACTTCATCCTAGTGGCCAAACATGTCATCCAAGGACTTGGGGATCCCCTGCTTTATCCACCACCATTGGCACCAGAGCTCTCCTTCTGGAGGCATGAAGATAGGCCCACTTAACCTGCCACTATCATCACAGCTGGCACCCACCCACCCATTCCATGAGTGGGCATGGGGATTGGCCCATCCAGCTGATTGAGCCACTGTCAAGACCAAAGCAGACCACTTGGGGAGCCAGAGGATTGTTTTGCCACTGCTACTTCCATCATCCACGTCATGCTGAAGTCCAGGGACCCAAGAGCCCACCCACCTGGATGGCCTAGTGCTGCCACTGCTGGCACCCAAGAAAGCCACCTGGAGGCCCAGGAATCTGTCTTCCTGAACATGCCAACCATGGTGCCAGCATATGCCACTTTGGGGCCCAAGGACAAAAATGCTTGTCCTGCTGTTGCCCCCACTGCGGCCCGAGGACTGGCTTACCAGACATGCATGTCCCCATCAAAACTGTACTGTAGCATCCACTAACAAATGCAGCCTAAGCCACTGAAGAAATCACAGACACTAATGACACTGTTTACAACTGAAGAAATCATACGAAGTCTACACTACTACATGCATCTAGAATCAAAGCTAAAGTGGCCTACCCAAACAACATCATAAGTACACCTTCAGGAAAAAGTCCACTAAATGAAAGCAAATTCAAAAAACTGGAAGAAGTGACTGTTATATCAGATGGAAGCATATCATTGTAAATACATAAGAAACATGAAAAACCAAGAAAATATATGACACCTTCAAAGGAAGACAATAATTCTCCAACAATAGATTCCAATGAAAAAAAAATTATAAATCCCAGATAAAAAATTCAAAATAGAGATATTAAATAAGCTCAGAAAGCTCTGAAAAACAATACAAAGGAACCAGAAAAAACTATCCAGGATATGAGTGAGTAATTTACCAAAGATATAGATATCATTAAAAAAGAACCAAACAAAAATTCTGAGACTGAATAATTCATTGAATAAATAAAAAATACATTCAAATGTTTAAACAATAGACTAGATCAAGCAGAAGAAGGAATTTCCAAAGTTGAAGGCAAGTCATATGAAATAATACAGTCAGACAAAAAAAAAATTAAAAAAAAAAAATGAACAAAGCTTTTGTGACATATGGGACACCATAAAGTAATCATGTATGCAAATTTTGGGGGACCAGGTGTGGTGGCTCATGCTTGTAATCCCAGCACTTTGGGAGGCCAAGGCAGGCAGATCACCTGAGGTCAGGAGTTTGAGACCGGCCTGGCCAATGTGGTGAAACTACACAAAATACAAAACTAGCTTGGGCATGGTTGTGCACACCTGTTATCCCAGATACTCAGGAGACTGAGGCAGGAGAATCACTTGAACCCAGGAGGCAAAGGTTGCTGTGAACCGAGATCACACCACTGTACTCCAGCCTGTGTGACAGAATGATGCTCCATTAAAAAAAAAAGGGCATCCAAGAAGGTCATAAGAAAATGAAATGATAAAAAACCTATTTAACAAAATAATAGCTGAAACCTTTTCAAGTCTAGCAAAAGATTTAGACTTCCACAGAAAAGAAGCTCAATGATCCTTAAACAGATATAATGCAAAAATATCTTCTTCATGGCACATTATAGTTAAGCTATCAAAATCAAAGACAAGGACAGATTTCTGAAAATAGCAAGAAAAAAGTGTCTAATCACTTATAAGGCAACCCCCGTCAGACTAACACCAGATTTCTCAGCAGAAAACTTAGAGGTCAGGAGAAAATTGAATGATACATTTAACGTGCTAGGAAAAAAAATTGTTAGTCAGAGATGCTGTACCCAGAAATATTATGCTCATAAAGGAAGAGAAGTTAAGTCTCCCACAGACAAGCAAAAGCTGAGGGAATTCATCACACCTAGACTAGCCCCCAAAAAATTCTTAAGGACATTCTACATTTATAAGTGTAAAAAACAATATCTACCATTATAAAAAGACACAAAAATATAATATGCACTGGTAAAGCAAATACACAAATGAGAAACAAAGTATGCAAATGTTATCTCTACCAAAAATTACCAAATCACAATGGTAAACAATAAGAAAGATAGGAACGAAGGATATACAAAAAAATCAGTAATCAGTTAACAAAATGACAGGCATAAGCCTCACATATCAGTAATAATCTCAAATGTAAACAAATTAAATTTTCCACTTAAAAGATACAGTCCAGCTGGTGGATTTTTTTAAAGTCCCAAATATATGCTGCCTACAAGAAAATCATCTCCCCTAAAAAGATGCATATGGACTGAAAATAATAATACCTAAGAATAAATTTAACCAATGATGTAAAATACCTCTACCAAAAATAATAATAATAATACAAAACTCTGATGAAAGACACTGAAGAGAAAACAAACAAATGGAAAAACATTCCATGTTTATGACTCAGATGAATTAACATAGTTACAATGACCATACTACCCAAAGCAATCTATACATTCAGTGCAGTCTATAGATTTAGTACAATCTCTATCAAAATATCAATGTCATTTTTCACAAAAATAGAAAAAATAATCTTAAAATTCACATAAAATCCAAAAAGAGCCCAAATAGCCAAAGCAGTCCTAGGCATAAAGAACAAATCTGAAGCCATCACACTAACTGACCTCAAAATATATTACAAGGTTATAGTAACCAAAATGGCATGGTATTGCTATAAAAACAGACACAGGGACCAATAGAACAGAATAGAAAACTCAGACATAAATCCATGTATTTACACCAACTGCTTTTTGACAAAAGTGCCAAGAACATGCATCAGGGAATGACCTCTTCAATAAATGATGCTGGGGAAATTGGATATTCATATGCAGAAGAATGAAACTGGATGCCTATCACTAAGCAAATAAAAAACCTATTTCAATATGGATTAAAGGCTTAAATAAAATACCTGTAACTATAAAAATATTAGAAAAAAATGTAGGGGAACACTTCAGTATATTTGCCTAAGCTAACACATCAAAAGCATAGACAACAAAGACAAAAATATAAAAATGTGACTATATTAAACTTAAAAGCTTTTGTGCAGCAAAGAAAACAATCAACAGAGTGAAGAGATGACTCGCAGAATGGCAGAAAATATTTTCAAACTATCTGACATGGAACTAATATCCAGAATATATAAGGAACTCAAACAATTCAACAGAAAAAAAAAAATCCCATGAAAAATTGGGCAAAGGACATGAATAGACATTTTCCAAAAGAAGACATACAAATGGCCAAGTATATAAAAAAAGTTCAGTGTCACTAATCATCATGGAAATGCAAATCAAAACCACTATGATAGATTATCTTACCCTAGTTAGAATGGCCATTATTAATTGACCAAAAGAAAAAAAATCAGATGCTGGTAAAAAATGCAGACAAAGGGGAACTCTTATATATTGTTGGTGAGAATGTAAATTAGTGCAGCTACTACAGAAAACAGTATAAAGATTTCTCAAAAAAGCTAAAAATGGAACTGCCATATGCTCCAGCAATCCTGCTGCTGGGTATTTATCCAGAGGATAAAAAGGTATTATATAAAAAAAGATACCTGCCTTTCTTTGTTTATTGTGGTGCTATTCACAATAGCAAAGATAGGAAGTCAACCTAAGTGTCCATCAACAGACAAATGAATAAAGATAATGTGGCATATATACACAGTGGAATGCAATTTGGCCATAAAAAAGAATGAAATCATGTCACTTACAGCAGCATGGTTGCTGGAGGTCATTAAGTGAAATTAGACCAGCACAAAAAGACAAATATTCCACATTCTCAATCATCGTATGTGTGAGCCAAAAAGTTGGCATAATGATAGTTACTAGAGGCTGGGAAGGGTATGTGGGTTGAGATGGGCAAGATGAAGTGAGGTTGATTAATGTATACAAACATACAGTTAGGTAGAAGAAATAAGATCTAATGTTGAATAGCAGAGTGACTATAGTTAACAACAATGTATTGGATATTTAAAAATATCTAGGAGAGAGGACTTGAAGTGTTCCCAACTGTATTAGTTCGTTTTCATGTTGCTGATAAAGACATACATGAGACTGGGCAATTTACAAGAGAGGTTTAACGGATTTACAGTTCCACGTGGCTGGAGAGGCCTCACAATCATGGTGTAAGGCAAGGGGAAGCAAGTCACTTCTTACGTGGATGGCAGCAGGCAAAGAGAGAGAGCTTGTATAGGGAAACTCCCATTTATAAAACCATCAGATCTCATGAGACTTATTCACTATCATGAGAACATCATGAGAAAGACTCACCCCCATGATTCAATTACCTCCCACCGGGTTCCTCTCACAACACCTGAGAATTATGGGAGTGACAAGATGAGATTTGGGTGGGGACAGAGAGCCAAGCCAGATTATTCCACACCTGGCCCCTCCCAAATCTCATTTCTTCACATTTCAAAGCCAATCAATCAAGCCTTCCCAGCAGTCCCCCAAAGTCTCAACTCATTTCAGCATTAACTCAAAAGTCCACAGTCCCAAGTCTCATCTGAGAAAAGGCGAGTCCCTTCTGCCTATGAGCCTGTAACATCAAAAGCAAGTTAGTTATGTCCTAGATACACTGGGGGTACAGGCATTGGGTAAATACAGATGTTCCAAATGGGAGAAATTGGCCAAAACAAAGGGGCTACAGGACCCATGCAAGTCCAAAATCCAGCAGGGCAGTCAAATCTTAAAGCTCCAAAATGATCTCCTTTGACTCCATGTCTCACATCCAGGTCACACCGATGCAAGAAGTGGGCTCCCATGGCCTTGGGTAGCATCTCCCCTGGGGCTTTGCAGGGTATAGCCCTCTCTTCTGGCTCCTTTCATGGGCTGGTGCTGATTGTCTGCAGCTTTTCCAGGTGCATAGTGCAGGTTGCCAGTGGATCTACCATTCTGGAGTCTGGAGGATGGTGGCCCTCTTCTCACAGCTTCACTAGGCAGTGCCACAGTAGGGACTCTGTGTAGGGGCTCCCACTTCACATTTTCCTTCTGCATTGCCCTAGCAGAGATTCTCCATGAGGGCTCCTCCCATGAAGCAAACTTTTGCCTGGGTATCCAGACATTTCCATACATCTTCTGAAATCTAGGCAGAGGTTCCCAAACCTCAATTCTTGATTTCTGTGCACCCATGGGCTTAACACCATGTGGAAGCTGCCAAGACTTAGGGCTTGCATCATCTAAAGCAACATCCTGAGCTGTACCTTCACCCATTTTAGTCATGGCTGGAGCGGCCAGGACCCCAGGCACCAAGTCCCTGGACTGCACACAGTACGGGGACCATGGGCCCTGCCTACAAAACCATTTTTTCCTCCTAGACCTCCAATCCTGTGATAGGAGGGGCTGCCATGAAGACCTCTGGCATGCCCTGGAGACGTTTTCCCCATAGTCTTAGGGATTAACATTCATCTTCCTGTTACTTATGCAAATTTCTGCAGCAGGCTTGAATTTCCCCTCAGAAAATGGAATTTTCTTTTCTGTTACGTGGTCAGGCTGCAAATTTTCCAAACTTTTATTTTCTGCTTGCCTTATAAAACTGAATACTTTTAACAGCAGCCAAGTTATTTCTCAAATCCTTTGCTGCTTAGAAATTTCTTCTGTCAGATACCCTAAATCATCTCTCTAAAGTTCAAAGTTCCACAAATCTCTAGGGCAGGGGCTAAACACCACCAGTCTCCTTGCTAAAACATAACAAGGGTCACTTTTGTTCCAGTTCCCATGTTTCTCATTTCCATCTGAGACCACCTCAGCCTGGACCTTATTGTCCATATCGATATCAGGCTTTTGGGCAAAGGCATTCAACAAGTCTCTAGGAAGTTCCAAACGTTTCCACATTTTTCTGTTTTCTTCTGAGCCCTCCAAACCATTCCAGCCTCTGCCTGTTACCCACTTCCAAAGTTGCTTCCACATTTTTGGGTATCTTTTCAGCAATGTCCCACCCTACTGGTACCAATTTACTGTATTGGTCCATTTTCATGCTGCTGATAAAGACATACCCAAGGCTGGGCAATTTACAAAAGAAACAGGTTTAATGGACTTATAGTTCCATGTGACTGGGGAGGCCTCACAATAATGGTGGAAGGCAAACCCCTGTTTTTAAAACCAATGGATCCCGGGAGACTTATTCACTATTCCAAGAACAGCATGGGAAAGACCCACCCTCATGATTCAGTTGTCTCCCACAGGGTCCCTCCCATAACGTGGGAATTATGGGAAGATGAAATTTTGATGGGGACACAAAGCCAAACCATATCACCACCACATAGAAATGAGAACTACTCAAGGTGAGATAAGCCATGAATACCTAGTCTTGATCATTACATATCCTATACATGTAACAAAATATCACATGTACCCCATAAGTATGTACAAATATTATGTATGTTATATACATAATCTTTCTCTCTCTCTATCTCTTGCTCCTGCTTTTGCCATGTGAAGTACCTGCTCCTGCTTTGCCTTCCACCATAAATAAAAGCTCCCTGAGGCCACCCCGGAAGTGGAAGGATGATGGTGCCATGCTTGTATTCCCTGCAGAACCGTAAGCCAATTAATCTGCTTTTCTTACAAATTGCACAGTCTCAGGTAATGAGATTTAGCAATGCAAAAATGGCCTAATACTATGAGATTAATATTTAAATCAGTAGACTTTGAGTAAAGCAAATTACCCTCCATAATGTGAATAAGCCTCATTCGGTCAGTTGAAAATGTGTATAGAAAAAAGCTGATCTCTCTCAAAAAAAGAGGAAATTCTGCCAGCAGATTGCCTTAAGACTTGAACTGCTGCATCAACACTTCCCTAGTTCAACCCTTCCCTATGTCTTCAGTGTGCCAGAGTACCCTATAGAATTTGAACTTGCCAGCCTTGCAATTGTATGAACCAATTCCTTAAAATAAGTCTCTCAGTATATAGATATAAATATGGATATAATGTTTATGTATTTGTGTATATGTATGTGCACATATATGCACAGTCACATATTGCTTAACAACAGGGATATATTTTGATAAATGTGTCATTAGGTGATTTTGTCACCTTGTGAACATAATAGAGTATACTTACACAAACCTAGATGGTCTAGCCTACTACACACATAGGCTATATTGTATAGCCTACTGCTCCTAGGCTACAAACCTGTACAATATGTTGTACTGAACACTGTAGGCAATTGTAAGACAATGTTAATATTTGTGTATCATGAAAAGGTACAGTAAAAATGTGCTCTAAAAGTTAAAAACGGGAACACCTCTATAGGACACTTACCATGAATGGAACTTGTAGGACTGGAAGTTGCTTTGGGTGAGTCAGTGAGTGGTGAGTGAATGTGAAGGCCTAGGAGATTACTGTATACTACTGTATACTTTATAAACACTATAATCTTAGGATATACTAAGTTAATTCAAAATATTTTTTCTACAATAATAAATTTTTTGGAGCTTACTGTAACAGTTTAGAAACTTAATTTTTTAACTTTTTGATTTTGTAATAAATTAAAATACAAACATTTTGCATAGCTGTATAAAATGGTTTTCTTTATATGCTTATTTTTATAAGCTTTTTCTATTTTATTTATTTATTTATTTATTTATTTATTTATTTATTTTACTTTTTAAACCTTTTTCTTAAAAAACTAAGATGCAAACACACACATTAGTCTCGGCCTACAAAGGGTCAGGATCATCAGTATTCCTTTCTCCTCCACATCTTTTCCTACTGGAAGGTCTTCAAGGGCAATAGCACACATGGAGCTGTCATCTCCTATGAGAACAATGCCTTCTGGAATACCTCCTAAAGGACCTGCCTGAGGCTGTCTTACAGTTCATTTATTTTTATAAGTAGAAGTGTACTCTAACATAATGATGAAAAGTATAATATAATAAATAAACCAGTAACAAGATGTTTATTATTATTATATATTATGTACTATTACTGTATGTGCTATATTTTTATACATCCGGCAGGGCAGTAGGTTACACATTACTCACATGTTTGTGGTGATGCAGGTCTAAACAAACCTACTGCCCTGCCAGTCATAGGTTATTGGTCAATTGATTTTCAACAAGAGTCCTTTCAACAGTGCTGAATAAACTGGATAGCCATATGAAAAAAAAAAAAACCTTTGATCCTTAGCTTATATCAGTTAAAAAGAATAAAAAGTTGACTTGAAGTTGGTCGGTCGGTCTAAATGTATGGCTGAAGTTTTAAAATTTCTAGAAGAAAATGAAGGGGAAAAAAACCTTCACAATGTGTAATAGGCAAACATATCTTAGGACACAAAATGCACAAATCATAGGAGAAAAAGAAAACATATATTTTATCAAAATTAAAAACTTCTGTTTTTGAGAGAACCATCAATTCATAAACTGGGAGAAAATAATGGTGAGAAATAAACACATTCACATGATATAAAATTATTTTAAAAATATGGAACACTTGCAATTTAGTAGTAAAAAGAAAAACTATCCAATTAACATTTTGACAAAAAAAAAAAAAAAAAGAGAACACAACTTTACCAAGGAACAAATGCAATACAGTTGGCCAACAATTATGTGAAAAGATACTCAACATCATTTGCCATTAGGGAAATGAGAGTTACAAATTAGTGTAGTGTCTTATAAAGTTAGAAATGCAATTATCTAATGACTCAAAAAACTCTATACTTAGGTATTTTCTTAAGAAAAACAAATGCATACATCCACACAAAGACTTGAAACAAATGTTCATTGAAGTTTTATGCATAAGAGCCAAAACCTGGAAACACCTCAAATGTCCATCCACTGATGAATGGCTAAGTAAATTTTGGTATAGATAGATAGATAGATAGATAGACAGACAGACAGACAGATAGATAGACCAAGGAGTACAATCAGCTATAGAAAGAAACTTCACTGATTTATACAATAGCTGGTATAAACAATTTACAATCTGTACAATATAGATAGATATACACAATGGCATGAATGAATATTAAAAACATTATGTTGAGGAATAGAAACAGACACAGGAATTTCATAATTTGAGATTCCATGTAATGTAACCACAAAGCACCAAAGTGTCATGATGGGAAGCAGACCAGTGGTTATTTGTGGCTCACAATAAGGGGGCAATTGACTGAAAAGGTAAATAAAATAATTTATTGGAATAATGAACATTTTTATCTTGATTTGTACTGGTGATTATAAAGGTTTATGCCTTTATATAGAAAAAAGACATCAACATGTAAATTTCATATGGATGTTTTCATATGTATATAAGTTATCTCTCAGAAAGGTTTTTCTAAAACAAAACAGACATATGTATAAAGACCTCAAGTAGAACTTTGAAGACATACAATTAGAGTATGATTTTCTGCTTTGCCATTAAGTTTTGGTAAGTTAATTATTCTCTGACCTTCAGTTTCTTCATATGCAAGGCAGAGAATATGATGGGCC